>NW_014040926.1:0-174969 GCF_000001405.40 Homo sapiens | reverse complement strand
TTTCATATGGAACTCCCCGACACCACCTTTTCTGAGACAGGATCTCACCCAGGCTGGAGTGCAGTGGTATAAACAGGGCTCACTGCAGCCTCAACCTCCTGGGCTCAAGCAATCCTCCTGCTCCAGCCTCCCGTGTAGCTAGGACCACAGGTGCACACCACCACACCCAGCTAACTTAAAAAAAATTTTTTTTTTGTAGAGACAGAGTCTCACTTTGTTGCCCAGGCTGGTCTCGAACTCCTGGGCTCAAGAAATCCTCCTGCCTCAACCACCCAAAGTGCTGGGATTACAGGTGTGAGCCACCGCGCCTGGCCAAAACTCCCAGTTTTCAGTATCAGCAACATATTCACATTTTTCTAAGACACAATAGGGAGACAAAACATATTTGTAGCTCACCCATTTTTGACCTGTAAGGCCAGGCAAAGGTTGAAACTCATCACCTCTCCCTTCTTAGGGCTAACCATGAGTGCAGAGGCAGACACCAAAATGCATGTTTTTAGAAAGGGGTAGGTATAAAACACCGTGGGAACATAGGAAGCATGTCTCAATATGACTATAAAAGTCAAAGGAGGCTTCGTGGAAGAGAAAGTATTTGAGCTGAGAATGGAAAGTCAATAGGAGGAGTTTGGGAGGCGAGTCAGGAGAGTCATTTCAAGCAGAAAGAAATGGCACACCCAAAGGTGTGGAAGTGGGAGTGAGCACGATGCTCTGGGAACTGTAGCTGGAGTACCAGGAAGCAGACCACGGAGGATACCATGTTGACAGGGGAGAAAGTTGACTGTTCTCAGTTGTCCTTTTACCTGGCTATCAGAATGATTTGCCATTTGCAGAGCATGCTCGCTGATGCAGTAACTGAAATGCCCTCGAGGTGGCGCACAGAAGCAGCGGGCCCGGCCTCCAGATGCCTCTACTCAGACCTGGGGCAGGAGGATTTTCTAAGGACTGGTGCGGTGCGGGCACATCCGGGGAGCAGAAGGAAGCTGTTGATAAATCCAACCTCCCACCCCGGCCGATGATGCCCTCTCTGCAGTTTGGCTCAGTTCCCAGGCGTGTGCATTGAAAGCAAAATGAGTGTGGCTGCCTGAAATGCTGCCCAGACACGAATTCCAGCCAGCCAGCCAGCTCCTAACCGGGGAGGCGGGACCAGGGCTGGGTGTGCCCTGCCAGGAAGGTGGGAAGAAATGCTCCAAACAGCCTAGTCTTGCTCAGGTAGGAGGACTCTGGAAACCTCTCTTTTAAAGACACAGTTGATGTGTTGAAAAGAATTTGGAAGGGCGACAGGCAGGTTCGTGGTCTGACTATACCCTTTGCTAGTTGGATGGATAACTTGGGGCAGTAACTTGGATGGATAATTCAGTTCAGCTCTCTGAGCTTCAGTCTACTGATCTGTAAAATGGAGACAATTATGAACCCCTTTCAAGGTCATTGTGAGGATTAAATGAGGTAATGAAATACCCAGCACTGTTCCCAAACCATGTAAATGCTCAATAAATACATAATACTTTGTAATAATACTCATATGAAACCTGGTTATCTATGTAAACTGCCTAATACTTTGTCACTTAGTTGCTTTCATCTGCCCCATAAGATGGGTACTATTATTATTCCGATTTTACGTGTGAAAAAAACTGAGGCACCTAGGGGTTAAGGAACTCACCCAAGGTCACATAGCTACAAAGTGTTGGTCTCAGGCTGTGAACCTGGGAGTTTGGCTCCAGAGACTAGGTTCTTAATAAGTAAACCAACTCAGTGCAGTCGTTTCAAAAACGACCACCATTATTACTGTCATTCGTTGGGGCTCCTTCAAAGCAGCATGCTGCAGGCTCCCCTGACAGTTTTCCTGTGGTGAGTCATAGCTGTTGAGAATGTGCAATGGCACGCACAGGTCAGCGAGACACCATCCCAGCTGCAGGAGATGGCGTTGCCTGGGTCCTGGGAGTTGACAGAGGCTGGCTTTGAGAGAGATCCCTCTCGTACTCCCAGAGAGAGAGATCCCTCTCTTAGGCCCAGAGAGTGGGGCCACTGTCCTTCCAAAGAGGACCTTCCTCTTTCCACATTTCAGCCCTGGGGGACCCTCTGGGTGTGCCTTTCATCTCTCTGTGGTCAGTTCCTCAATTCATCATGTATTCATTCATTTATTCATTTATCCATCCATTTAGCAATGATGTATCAAGTGTCCACCTAGAGCACTGTTACAGGAGCTGGAATGCAGTGGTGAACCCGTGACAGGGTCCCAATACTCTGGAGCCTGTAATCTGGAGATGGAGGCAGACGATGTTTATAAACACATAAACAAGCTAATCATACACTTGGATAAGTGCTGTAAAAGCGAGAAATCAGGTGATGTGCTAGAGAATTACAGGGCGGGGACCATCAGCCTCAGCTGAGGTGGTGAGGGAAGGCCTCCCTCATGCGAGCTGAGACCTGGAGGAGGAAGAGCATTCCAGGAAGGAAGACCAGCCTGTGCAAAGGCCCGGCAGTGGGAGGGATGGGTATGTTTAAGGAACAGAAAGAAGCAGTGCTGTGGAGGCCTTCCGTAAACCATGCGGAGAGCATGGCATGAGATTACATCAGAAAGTGGGTAGGGGCAGGACGTGCAGGGGCTGGGAGGCTGTGGTGAGCTTTTGGTTTTGTTTTTGTTTGTTTTTTTGGAAACACAGTCTCACTCGGTCACTCAGGCTGATGTGCAATGGCATGATCTCAGCTCACTACAGCCTCCACCTCCCGGGTTCAAGCGATTCTTGTGCCTCAGCCTTTTGAGTAGCTGGGATTACAGGCATGCGCCACCATACCCAGCTAATTTTTATATGTTTAGTACAGACAGTGTTTCGCCATGTTGGCCAGGCTGGTCTCAAACTCCTGACCAAAGTGATCCTCCCACCTCGATCTGCCAAAGTGCTGGGACTTTAGGCATGAGCCACTGCACCCGGCCAGGAGTTTTACTTTATGCTAAAAATAATTGGAAGCTGTTACACCACCAGTCCCCAACCTTTTTGGCACCAGGGACTGGTTTCATAGAAGACGGTTTTTCCATGGACCAGGGTTTGTAGGGGATGGTTTCAAGACGAAACTGTTCCACCTCTGATCATCAGGCATTAGATTCTCGTAAGGAGCGTGCAACCTAGATCCCTCACATGCGCAGTTCACAACAGGGCCCACCTCCTGATGTGTGGCCCGGTTCCTAACAGGCCACAGACTGGTACCAGTCCGTGGCCCCAGGGGGTGGGAACCCCTGTGTTGGAGGGTTAGAGGCAGGGGAGTGACTTGATCCGCTGTGAATTTTTGAAAAGTCCCTCTGGCGGCTCTTTGGCAAATGGATTATAGTGGGGGAAGAGGACACAGGGAAACCAGTTTTGGGGCTATTGTGACTGTTCAGGTGGGAACCCTGTGACCAGGATCAGGCTTGGGGGCAGGAACATCCGTTTTGGATGCCAACAGCCCCGCGAGTTCACGCCCTGTCCAGCCTTTCCTCACCCAAACCTCCTGCTGCAATCTGACTCCAGGAGAAATCTGCTTGGATCTCAGCTTCCCTGTCCCTCCACCATGCTGCCAGGCAACCCAGTTGTCAGGCAGGGTCGGGTAGAATTAAGGCTAGATTAATCTAGGACAGTAAGTTTCAAACTGCATTAAAAATAAATAAAAGCTAGGAAATGAATCCCTTTGGACAAAATTTTTAGAAATTCAAAATGTAAACCTTACAAGAACAGAGTTTACCATCCCCAGCCCACCTCACCGGTATGCATGGAGGCACTTTTGAGGAACCTCAAGTCTCTAGAGAATGCAAAAATCCCAAAGGTCCAGGGGTCTGGGGTGAAAGAGGAGATCCAAGGTCAGGCCAAACAGCAAGAGGTGGGGGACAGGGAGGTCACCAGCAGAGTCCACACTGAGCTGTGCCCAGCAGGATGTTGGATGGGATTCTCTGGTAACTCCAGGTTGTTGATCCTGAGAAGCCTGGGCTACTCAGTTAGCCTCACTCTCAGACACAACTCCCTGGGCCTGAGAGACTTTGTCAGAAGTCCAGAATCCTCTTCTTCCTGAAAGGAAGTAGCATGTCCACAGCCTGAAAGTGAACATGAGAAGCAGCTGTGGATCCAGGCCCCAAGGCTGCCTGGCGCAGCTGCCCAGGCTGTGCACTGTATAATTACAGGAGGTACCAAGCTACTAATGTAAATGGTGCCTCCTGGAGTGAGGAAATGCAGCAGCTCTCTGGGCGCTTCCACAAGGGCTCAGTTTGGTAAGACCCTCGAGTGGGTCTTAATTTCACTCCAGGAGGGGACCTTAATTTTTTCAACTCTGATGAGTCCACTTTTTTCTCAACAGAGATATAGGGGCTGGCTGGCAGATTCTGATGGGTTATTGAAAAAGGAGGTGAGAAGAGCAGAGGAATGAAGACAGAGACTTCCTGACTTCCTGGCTCCTACCCTAAAGAATAGTGCAAAAACATCTTGGGAGGGAGGGAGTTGTGCAACTATCACAAAGTCTTGCCAGGCACAGTGGCTCATGCCTGTAATCTCAGCACATTGGGAGGCCAAGGCGAATGGATCACTTGAGGCCAGGAGTTTGAGTCCAGCCTGAGCAACATATTGAGACCCCCATTTCTACAAAAAAAAAAAAAAAGCCTGGTGTGGCGGCATCTGCCTGTAGTCAGTCCTAGCTACTTGGGAGGCTGAGGCAGGAGGATTGTTTGAGCCCAGGAGTTCGAGATTGCAGTGAGCTATGATTGACACACTTCACTTCTTCAAGGCTCCATTCCATCATCTGTAAAATGGGCCCAGTAATTTGTGACTTTTAGGGTTACCAAAAAGAATAAACAGCAGAGCAGTGGTAAATGGTGGCTTTTGTTTTACCATCCTTAACAAACCCCAGAGTCTGGTTAGATCCTTTCTCTCCAACTCCCTCTCCTTCTTACAAGCTCCCTCACCCTCACGCTCCAGCTGCATTGAGCCCTTTGACATTGCCCATGCAAACCTTGGCCTTCTACACTTCCATCATTTCTGCCAAGAATGCATTTTTTTGGCCGGGCACAGTAGCTCATGCCTGTAATCCCAACACTTTGGGAGGCCAAGGCAGGTGGATCACCTGAAGTCAGGGGTTCAAGACCAGCCTGGCCAACATGGCAAAACCCCATCTCTACTAAAAATACAAAAATTAGCTGGGCGTGGTGGTGCATGCCTGTAATCCCAGCTTCTAGGTAGGCTGAGGCAGGAGAATCACTTGAATCCGGGAGGTGGAGGTTACAGTGAGCCAAGATTGTGCCACTGCACTCCAGCCTGGCAGCCTGGATGACAGAGTGAGACACCCTCTCAAAAAAAAAAAAAAAAGGTTTCTCACATCGCAAAAGTAGATAAATTCTGTATAGAAGATTTAGCAAATAGGCATAAGCAAACGAAGAAAATGAAAATCTCCTATCATTCCACCTCAGAGAGATAATTGCTATTAACATGGTATTATGGGCTGAATGTTTGTGACCCCCTAAAATTCATATGTTGAAATCCCAAACCCCATTGTGACTGTATTTGGGGATAGGGCCTTCATTAAGGTTAAATGAGGTCATAAGGGTGGAGCCCTGATCCAATAGGATTAGTGTCCCTATGAGAAGAGACACCATGTGAATACAATGAGAAGACTGCCATTCACAAGCAAAGAGAGAGCCCTCATGAGAAAGCAAATTGGCCAGCAACTTGATCTTGGGCTTCCCAGCCTCCAGAACCATGAGAAATAAATTTCTGCTAGTGAAGCCTCCCAGTCTGATATTTTGTTATGACAGATTGAGCCACATAGTTAGCCTTCTAAATGTCTGTGCACATATGGATATATATATATATATATATATATATATATATATACATATATACATATATATAAACAAAACCTGAATGAGATAATTCTTAGATAGTACATCATAGATTATAGCATAGGTGTTGGCTGGGTGTGGTGGCTCACACCTGTAATCCCAGCACTTTGGGAGGCCAAGGCAGATGGATTGCTTGAGTCCAGGAGTTTTAGATCAGCCTGGGAAACATGGTGAGATCCCATCTCTGCAAAAAAAGGTAAAAATTAGCCAGGCATGATGGCGTGCTCCTGTGGTCCCAGCTCCTTGGAGGCTAAGGTGGGAGGATTGCCTGAGCCCAGGAGGTCAAGGCTGTAGTGAGCCATGACTGCACCACTGCACTCCAGCCTGGGTGACAGAGAGAGAGAGAGAGACCCTGTCTCAAAAAATAAAATAAATTAATAAAAAGAGCATAGATGTTGGAATTAGACAGATGTGGATTCAAATCCTGGTGGTGTATAGCCTTAGGCAAATCTCAGTGGTGTACCTCTCTGGGTTTATTTCCTCGTCTTAAAATAGAGATGATGAGAGTATACCTCCTGGGACTGCTATGAAGATTAAATTGGAAAATTCTTTTAAAGTGCCTGGCACAGTTCTGGCATCTAGCAAAGCCAGCCCTTTTAAATGGTGGTAGATAGTCACTATTCACTAGACTGTAAGCCCCTTAAGGGAAGGAGCTTTGCTGACTTATCTGCATTATCCTTTGTTCTTGACAAGCGCCTGGAGAATAGGTTTGTAATAAATATTTAGTGAATGAGTGAATAAACAGTTCATACATTTAGGAGAGCATAGATAGAGAGCAGCTAGCACAGTGCCTAATCAATTGCATATAATTATTGGTGGTGTTACACTGTTCTATAATGAGTAACGCACAGTGGCTGGTTAAGAGCCGACTGCCTGGGTTTGAATTCTGTTTCTACTGGTTCGTCGATGTGTTATCTGAGCCAAGTGCACCTTTAGATACATCTTTCTCTACCATGCACTTTAAAATGCATCTCTCGAATGGGGATGAGAATAGTATCAACCTCATGGGGTTGTCACGAGGATTAAATGAGATGATCCATGTCAAGTGCCTAAAATAGTACCTACCTCATGAGGTTGTTATGAGGATTATAGGAGATCATCCATCAAGACATCTAGAATGCTGCTCAATAAATGCTTTACTCTCTTAATGTCAAATGTCTGTTACTTATTGTCATCCTCAGATCAAACAGCAGCAAATCAAAAGCGGAGAGCCCCAAAACACCTAGCAGCCCCTTGACCCCCACGTTTGCCTCTTCCATGTGTCTCCTGGCCCCCTGCTATCTCACAGGGGACTCTGTCCGGGACAAGTGTGTGGAGATGCTGTCAGCAGCCCTGAAGGCGGACGGTGAGAGAGCCTGGGCTAGGGATGAGGGAGGGAAGGAGTCCCTTTTCCCAATCTCACTGAGGGCAGATGAAATTCAGTCTTTCTCAGCACCCCAAGGGATGGTACAGGAACACTCTAGTCCCAGGTACAAGCAGGCTTCACTGCCTACGTTGTGTCTGGCTGATACCTGTATTTCTCGAATCTCTTTTAGATGATTACAAGGACTATGGAGTCAACTGTGACAAGATGGCATCAGAAATCGAAGATCATATCCTTGAACTGTGCCGGGGCTGTGGGTGTCTGCACCGTCTAGCAGCACCCATCCAAGGTGCAAGCGAGCTGGGAGAGTGAGGAAGGAGAGGAAGGGCTCCGGGAACAGCCCCTGCTCTGCCCCTGAACCAGAGTTCTTAATTCTATCTAACATTCATTATTATTTTACACCTGCCAGCAAAACTTGAAAATGAGCAGTACCTCATTCAGTGTTGATAACAACCCCACAGTAGGTTCCCTGATTTATCCAGTTTCA
Organism: Homo sapiens; assembly: GCF_000001405.40. Classification (NCBI taxonomy): domain Eukaryota; kingdom Metazoa; phylum Chordata; class Mammalia; order Primates; family Hominidae; genus Homo; species Homo sapiens. The sequence continues at coordinate 167,265 of NW_014040926.1, read as the reverse complement.
TGGGTGAAGTCACTAAGACTCAGAGAGGTCAAATCATTTCCCAAAGCCCATACAGCTAACAGTAGTAGCAGAGATGGGATCTGAATCCAGAAATTGTGACCCTGGAACCTGGAGGCTCAGCGGCTGTGCCAGCTAGGCTGTGTAATAGCGTGCCTCAGTTGGCCAAGTCGTTACTTCCAGGAACAGACTAGATTGAGAGGTCAGCATTTCCCATGCTCAGCCTTTTCCCTTCTCCCATCCTCTGATGTTAACAGCGCCCTTTTTTTTTTTTTTTTTTTTTTGAGACGGAGTTTCACTCCTGTTGCCCAGGCTGGAGTGCGATGGCGCAATCTCGCCTCACTGCAACCTACAACTTCTGGGTTCAAGCGATTCTCCTGCCTCAGCCTCTCAAGTAGCTGGAATTACAGGCATGCACCATCACACCTGGTTAATTTTGTACTTTTAGTAGGGATGGGGTTTCACGATGTTGGTCAGGCTGGTCTTGAACTCCTGACCTCAGGTGATGCACCACCCACCTTTGCATCCCAAAGTGCTGGGATTACAGGTGTGAGCCATCACACCCAGCGCCCTGCCCTCTGTTTTTTTACTCCCAAATATATATCAAGCACTGCAATGGCCAATTGACACTTCCTACCTCTGTTAGCTCTCACAGCATTCTCTGTGAGGCAGGGACTGTTCCCATTTTACAGATGAGGAGTCTGAGGCTCAGAACTGTCAAAGCGGGACTGGAGACTTTGTCTTTGGATTCCATGTATTGAATCCTTTCCATGTGCCCCCTGCTCCCCAACTTCTCACCTGAAAGGGGCCTTGTGTAGACAGGAGAGGTGGCCACCACTGGGATGTATTCATAGATCTGTTGCACCAAAAGGTGTTTGGCTTGGGAGAAAAAAAATCCCACCCCACTTGGCCCCCACTGAATGAAAACATGGAGCTTCTTTTACTAGAGACAAAGGTTTGCATGGTATTGGAGCGGGGAGACAGTCAGGGGACAGGAAGTCTAAGTGTCACACCGAGGTGTGAGCGACCCTTTTGAGGGCTCCTGGGTTCTACCTGCGGAGTTCAGCAGGGTCTGTTGAGGAGAGCCAGGGGCCAATCTGCAGACGACAAATTTGCGTTTCCATCTTCTTCCTGTGGCCTACCCTGATTCCCTCCAACTTATTTTCTGGTGGTTTCTCTCTACTCTCATTTAATGATTAATCAGCAATACCTCAACAAGTCTGGAGCCATTCAGCACCTCAAAAAGTACATTTTCATCATTTCCTGTTAATTCAAGAAGGCAGAACACAAGGTATGAGAACTATCACGAGTTTCATCTTCATTTTCTCCTGAACAGTCATCCCTCCAAGCAGGTCCTTTCCACCTTTAAGCCCAGTTTGAAACAACAGCAGATGGTCCAGTACAAAGTTCCACTCCCAGCCTTTCCTCCATCCACTGAAAGTTCCTTTTTTTTTTTTTTTTTGAGATGGAATCTTGCTCTGTTGCCCAGGCTGGAGTGCAGTGGCATGATCTCAGCTCACTGCAACCTCTGCCTTCTGGGTTCAAGTGATTCTGCTGCCTCAGCCTCCCAAGTAGCTGGGATTACAGGTGCCCGCCACCACACCTGGCTAATTTTGTTGTATTTTTTGTAGACATGGGGTTTCACCATGTTGGCCAGGCTGGTCTTGAACTCCTGACCTCAGGTGATCCTCCCTCCTCAGCCTCGTAAAATGCTGGGATTACAGGCGTGAGCCACCACCCCCAGCCTGAATGTCCCTCTTCTAAAGGAGAGGAAATCAAAGCTGCATCAAACACTTTAGCTCTTTGTTTTTAGCCAGCTGGAGGTCAGGGGGAGGGTACATTTGGGGGCTTGACTGCTCTATGTCCTAAAATAGATCTGTCCTCTTTGGAGTGGCCCTGTGCTAACAATGCAGCCAAAAGTTCCTCTGAGGGGCCGGTGCCCCCGGTCTGCTCTCTGCCTCGTCCCCTCTGTGGCCTTGGGACATGGAGACAGAGTCAGAAAGAGGCTGGTGAAAGTATCGCCAGCCCTGCTGGCTCCGCATATCAATACACCCCAGGAATCCCAAGTGGTACATTTTAAAACACATTTTTTGGCTTTCACATGCATTGTGGCATATTCTTTGCTTTTCACACTTTTATTGTACAAACAACATTAAAACAATAACAGAAAAAAGAAAGAATACCACCTCCCCTCCCACCACTTCTAGCAAGTCATCTGTTTTCATTTTTCCACATTCTCCGCAGTCTCTTTATTGTATATGGCTCTTCCCAGCAACAGCTTTGTCTTCCTGATCTTCTTTGGCTCAGGAGACCAAGAAAATGAGGCTGTGTTCCCCGAGCTCCTCCAGAGGGTGGAGGGAGTGGGAGGCTCGGAAGCCTGCCTAGGATGCAGTGTTTGGACAGAAACTCTGTGGTTGGTGGCCAGGGATGACTTCCTGCCGGGTGAGTGGAGAGAGTTACCGTCAGGAGGGGTCTGGCTTCCAGCCCTGTCTCTGCCGGGAATTTGCCTGGTGGCCTTGAGCAAGGTCCTACACCCTTTCTAAGCCCCAGCTTCCTCATCTGTTAATGGGAGAAGTAACTCTGACCAGCAATTCCCAGCGTGGGTTCCATGGGATGGTAACAGGTCTTGTAGGGGAAAGGACAGAGGGGAAGGGGACTCTATAATCAAATTTATTGGGAACACCAGATTAAACAAAGCTCAGTGGTTTCTTTTTTGCAATACTTCGTAGAGCCTTAAACATGTGGCTCTTAATCTTTTCCTCTGACAGCTGGACTCACAACCTCCAGGGGCCCTTCCAAACTAGAAGTTATCCGCATCCTTGTCATCATCTTAGCAGCCCATACATGTTGAGCATTTGATATATCCCAGACACCACACTAGTGCATCACGTGGCTTAGCTCACAGAATCCTTGTATTTTATAAATAAGGAAACTCAGGCGTGTAGAGGTTGTGTGACTCACCTGAGGTCACACAAGAGGCTCAGACAAACCCAGGGTCCTGGTGTCCCTGACACTATAGTGCTTGCTATGATCTGATCTTACCCCAGAAGCTATTTTCTTTCTCTGCTACTTGGCTGACCACAAATGCCCAAGAGACATCACCACTTGGAGAGTCAGAGGTCACAAAAGAGGGGCCCAACTCCTGTAGAAGTCCGAGGAGAGGAAGAAAGGGTTCTGGAGCTCTCAGGCGTCAGGGCCAGGCCTGCACCCTTCTGTGCCCCTCCATGAATGGCTGGCCGGCCCTTGACTGTGTCACATATCTACCAAGAGCTCAAGAGCACGGACATGAAGTACCGGAACCGCGTGCGCAGCCGCATAAGCAACCTCAAGGACCCCAGGAACCCCGGCCTGCGGCGGAACGTGCTCAGTGGGGCCATCTCCGCAGGGCTTATAGCCAAGATGACGGCAGAGGTGAGAGCAGGGCATCTGCATGGTGAGGCAGGAAGCCAGGTCCCCCTAGCCCTGCCTAGTGCAGAGGGTCAGTGGCTCGTGACTCATCAGCAGTGAGCCAGGGAGCTTTTCAAACCAGCCTCATCTCAGCCTCCCCCCTGGGCTCTGGACTAGCAGGATACTGAACACAGCTAATAGGTTCTAAGTGCTGTGCTAAGTGTGTTCAGCGAATTGGCCAAGTTTATGTTCACACCAACTGAGATAGAAAGGTGTATTATCCCCATTCTACAGATGAGGATCCTGAGGCTCAGAGGAGTAAACGAATTTGCCCATGCACACAGCTAGAAAGAGTCGGAGCCAGGAGGCAAGCTGTCTGGCCCCAGCGCTAGGTTGTGTGGCATGTGTGGGGGCTGTACGTGTGGAGTGCGTGTCTATGTGGTACGTATGATGTGTGAGGTGTGTAGAGGGTATATGTGGGGTGTGTGTGTGGTGTGTATATGTGGAGTGCATGTGTGGTATGTATGTGTGTGTATGTATGGAGCATGTGCGTATGGTATATATTAGGGATCCCTAACCCTCAGGCCACCAGCTGGTACCTGTTGGGAACCAGGCCACACAACAGGAGGTGAGCAGTGGGCAAGTGAGCGAAGCTTCATCTGTATTTACAGCCTCTCCCCATCACTCGCATTACTGCCTGAGCTCCGCCTCCTGTCAGATCAGTGACGGCATTAGATTCTCATAGGAGCACGAACCCTATTGTGAACTGTGCATTCGAGGAAACCAAGTTGCATGCTTCTCATGAGAATCTAATGCCTGATGATCTGTCACTGTCTCCCAGCACCCCAAGTGGGAACCATCTAGTTGCAGGAAAACAAGGGATCTCAGGGCTCCCACTAATTCTACATTATGGTGAGTTGGATAATTATTTCATTATATATATCACACTGTAATAATAATAGAAATAAAGTGCACAATAAATGTAATGTACTTGAATCATCCTGAAACCATCCCCCACCCTGTCCATGGAAAAACTGTCTTCCAGGAAACCAGTCCCTGGCGCCAAAAATGTTGGGGACCACTGGTATATATGATGTGTGGAGTGTGGGGGCTGTGTATGTGTGGAGTGGGTGTGTGTGTGGTGTGTATGATGTGTGAGGTGTGTTTGGTGTATAGTATATGTGTGTGGCATGTATGATATGTGGAGTGTGTGTGTGTGATGTGTGGAGTGTGTGTGGTGTGTATGATGTGTGGAGTGTGTGTGTATGATGTGTGGAGTGTGTGTGTGTGTGTATGATGTGTGGAGTGTGTGTGTATGATGTGTGGAGTGTGTGTGTCTGATGTGTGGAGTGTATGTGGCGTGTATGATGTGTGGAATATGTGTGTATGATGTATGGAGTGTGAGTGTGTGATGTGTGGAGTGTGTGGTGTGTATGATGTGTGGAGTGTGTGTGTATTGTGCATGATGTGTGGAGTGTGTGTGTATTGTGCATGATGATGTGTGGAGTGTGTTTTGTGTATGATGTGTGGAGTGTGTGTGTATGATGTGTGGAGTGTGTGTGTATGATGTCATGTGAAGTATGTGTGTGGTGTGTGATTAGCATATGTGTGGCATGTGTGGTTTGTGTATGTGTGGCATGTGGAAGTGTGTGTCTGTGTTATGTAGTGTGTGTATGTACATTCTTCTGAGGAGAGGGTTCACTGCTTTCCTCAAACACCCAAAACAAACAGCAAAGAGCCTTGGCTTTAGGATGAAATGGGGAACTTGGCACAGGTAGACCAGGGTTATCTTTCTGCCTAATTTAAAATATCTGATCTTTTTGGGTAAATAGCAACATATGCCTGGAGTTATAAATTGCAACTTGGCTTTACAGTGTGTCTTTCGTCAGTTCAGACTGCTATAACGAACATCGCCTGGGTAGTTTATAAACAACAGGCATTTATTCCTCACATTTCTTTTTTTTTGTTTGCTTGTTTTTTTGAGATGGAGTCCACTCTTTTGCCCAGGCTGGAGTGTAGTGGCACAATCTGGGCTCACTGCAGCCTCCACCTCCCAGGTTCAAGCGATTCTACTGCCTCAGCCTCCCGAGTAGCTGGGATTACAGGGGTGTGCCACCATGCCCGGCTAATTTTTGTATTTTTAGTAGAGATGGGATTTCACCATGTTGGCCAGGCTGGTCTCAAACTCCTGACCTCAGATAATCCACCTGCCTCAGCCTCCCAAAGTGCTGGGATTACAGGCGTGAACCATGACACCTGGCCTAGTTCTCACATTTCTAGAGATTGGACAGTCCAACATCAGGGCAGCAGCAGATTCAGTGTCTAGTGAGGGCCTGCTTCCTCATAGACAGCCATCTTCTCACTGTAACCTCACATGGTGGAGGGGTCTTTCTCAGGCCCCTATTAGAGGAGCACTAATCCCCTGCACCAGAGCTCTGCCCTTGAGAGCTAATCACCTCCCAAAGACCCCCTAATAACCATTGCCTTGGGGTTAGGATTTCAACAGGCCACGTGAGGTGGCTCATGCCTGTAATCCCAGCACTTTGGGAGGCCGAGGTGGGCAGAACTCCTGAGCTCAGGAGTTCAAGATGGCAAAACCCTGTCTCTACTAAAAATACAAAAATTAGCCGGGCGTGGTGGCACACACCTGTAGTCCCAGCTACTCGGGAGGCTGAGGCAGGAGAATCGCTTGAACCCAGGAGGCAGAGGTTGCAGTGAGCTGAGATCCTCCATCTCAAAAAAAAAAAAAAAAAAGAAAGAAAGAAAGAAAAAAAGAAAAAAAAACAGAAAAATCTTAGCTTGGGCTTGGGCTGCCTGCTGTGAGGGGAAGCGCCCATCAGGAACCCATGTGGACGGTGTCTCTCTCAGAACTCCCTTCCCTGACTCCCTTTTTATGCCTCTTTCCTTGTTTACCTGACTCCCTCATTCTTTCTTCTTCTCTTTTCTTCCCTACTCAGACATAGCAAAGAATGGAGTAGGCTCTGAGATACCCATGAGCGCTGCTGAGTGGACATAGCATCCTGTCAGTCCCCTGAGAACCGGCATTCACAGTCCACCCAGCACTGACAACAGTGTCTGGTACATCACAGGGCTCAACAAATAGGGATAGAATTGTGGTCTCTGACTCTCATTTCCTTCATTTTCCACCTTATTTTCTACAGTGTTGTATTTATTCTCCGTGTCTCTGATGCTGCCTCATTCTAATGAGGCAGGGCAGAGAAGTCAATGAATTGGCGTGTGGCTGGATAGATTTTTCTGTTCTCTATTTCTTAGCTGGCACACAAGACCTTCCTTCCACAATCTGACCTCCAGCCACATCTCCCATGCTTGACTTGAACCTACCCCAAATACTTTTCCCCAAACATGCTATTCTTGTCCTCTGATCTTTTGTGCCTGCTGTTTTTTGTTTTTTGTTTTTTCTTTTGAGATGGAGTCTGGCTGTCACCCAGGCTGGAGTGCAATGGCATAATCTCAGCTCACTGCAACCTCCACCTCCCAGGTTCAAGAGATTCTCCTGCCTCAGCCTCCCAAGTAGTTAGGACTGCAGGCATGCACCTGTAACCATGTAACCATGCCTGGCTAATTTTTCTATTTTTAGTAGAGACGAAGTTTCGCCATGTTGGCCAGGTTGGTCTCAAACTCCTGACCTCAGGTGATCTGCCCGCCTCGGCTTCCTGAAGTGCTGGGATTACATGTGTGAGCCACTGCGCCCGGCCCTGCTGTTTTATTTGTCTGGAATGTGCCACCACCCACCCCAGGAACTCCTATCTTTCAAGACTGGTTAAAGTACTAGCTTCTTCATGACCCACCAGACCCCAAACAGTTAACCACCATACCCTGTTGCTTTCCCCTGCACCTTATATGCCTTCACTTTAGTACTTCCTTCCCTCTCTTGCAATCTCGTGTAAATGCTTGGCTACCCTATCAGATTAGCACTACTTGGGAGGAGGAACCAGATCTTCCTTTCTGAATCCGTTGGACTCAGAGGCAGTAGCATGCTTGAGCTAGCTCCTACCAGCTCAAGGGAGCTGGTGATGTGTAGCTCTTCCCAACTCTGCGTTCAGTTATATCACATTAGCAGCTTGAAATTGGCCATGGAATTTTGTCCCATTGACCATAGCATTTTGTCCCATGGAAGCTGACAAACACTACAAATCAAGGCATCCCCACAACCAAAGCTGGTTTACCTGCAAACTGATACAGTTAAAGGCATTCAGTAAATTGGCATCCAATAGATTTTGTTTTTGTTTTTTGAGACGGAGTCTCACTCTGTCACCCAGGCTGGAGTGCAGTGACGTGATCTCGGCTCACTGCACCCTCCACCTCCCAGGTTCAAGCGATTCTCCTGCCTCAGCCTCCTAAATAGCTGAGATTACAGGCATGCACCACCAATGCCTGGCTTTTTTTTTTTTTTTGATGGAATCTCGCTGTTGTTGCCCAGGCGGGAGTGCAATGGTGCAGTCTCAGCTCACTGCAACTTAAACCTCCCAGGTTCAAGCAATTGTCCTGCTTCAGCCTTCCAAGTAGCTGGGATTACAGGTGCCCGCCACCACACCCAGCTAATTTTTTGTATTTTTAGTACAGATGGGGTTTCACCATGTTGACCTGGCTGGTCTCCAACTCCTGACCTCAGGTGATCCACCTGTCCCAGCCTCCCAAAGTGCTGAGATTACAGGTGTAAGCCACTGCACCTGGCCACATCCAATAAATTTTGAATGGGCAAATGCTTTATGCTCTGGAAAATCCCCTCAAATTAAAGTCAGCTACTTTTTACTCATATGGGTAAATGGCTTTCATTGACTTGTTTTTCTATATTCTCCTGCCATTGGTTAGGGCCTAGCCTTTGAATTTAACACACTAGGACTTAAACATTAATACGTACCAGAATAACTTGAGGACACTAGTGAAAATGCATATTCTGGCCAGGCGCAGTGGCTCATGCCTGTAATCCCGGCACTTCGGGAGTCCAAAGTAGGCAGATCACTTGAGCTCAGGAGACCAGCCTAGGCAACATGGGAAAACCCCATCTCTACAAAAATATACAAAAAATAATTAACCAGGTTTGGTGGTGCATGCTGGGTGTAGTCCCAGCTACTTGGGAGGCTGAGGTGGGAGAATCGTTTGAGCCTGGGGAGGTTGAGGCTGCCATGAGTCACGATCGCACCACTGCACTCCAGCCTAGGTGACAGCAAGATCCTGTCCCAAAAATAACCAAATAAAGAACTTTAAAAAATGCATATTCCTGGGCCTGCCCTTAGCAATTCAGATTCATAGGAATCTGCATTTTATCAAGAAGCCTAAGTGGTTATAATGAAAGGTGAGCACACTAAAATGCTTTGACCTTTATGCCAGCATTCTTCTCCATGGTTTAAGGACTCAGGACAGACAGCAACAATTAAAATGTTTAAGCCAGGCATAGTGGTTCATACCTGTAATCCCAGCACTTTGGAAGGATGAGGTGGGTGGATCACAAGGTCAGGAGATCGAGACCATCCTGGCCAATATGGTGAAACCCCGTCTCTACTAAAAATACAAAAATTAGCTGGGTGTGGTGGCATGAGCCTGTAGTCCCAGCTACTCGGGAGGCTGAGGCAGGAGAATCGCTTGAACCCAGGAGGTGGAGGTTGCAGTGAGCCGAGATCGCACCACTGCACTTCAGCCTGGTGACAGAGCGAGACTCCATCTCAAAAAAAAAAAAAAAAAGTTTAAAATCCTCATTTTGAGATTCGCGTCAGCCACCCTCCTTCCCCTTCCACCAACCCTTAACTGGAGCTCCCTCTCTGCTGTCCTCTGGCAGAGGCTTAAGGGGAGACAAGTGGCCAGGGAGATGGACAGAGAAAGCAAAGGTGTGGGTGATGCAGACCCGGAGTGTCTACTGTGAGCTGGTGGGAGACTGGAGACTCTTCTGTAGAAACTCTCAGAAAAAGATGATCTTGGATGCATGCTCATCAGATGAACAGTTAGTTGTGTGAGCCCAGGAGCTTCAGGATGGGGGTAGCAGCAGCAAGTCATGGGTAGTTGCGCCAAGGTTCCCACTAAGCAGAACAGCAGGGCAGTGATCACAGCGTAAAAGAGCACTGGGTCAAGTCTAGAGAGGAAGGCTAAGGGGAACATCATAGACCAGGTGGCAGTGATCAAGTCAGCTCAAGCAGGAAGGTTCAGGCCAAGGCCAAGGTCCTGGCAGGCAGGATGAGCCCCAGATCTGAAGAAATGTACACAGGAGTGCTCGTCCTCGGGCAGAGGCTGTTTGCCTGCTGCTCACCTGAATGTGCATTATGACCTTCCAGCCGTGGGCGGCAGGAGGACTCTGCGGGGACAGCTTTCTCCCAGCTGGGGCAGGACCCGGAATCCAGGCCTCCTTCCAGCTCCTTGCAGTCAATAAAGCATGTTACCTCCTTTTCTGTTCAGGCTTTCTAGAAACCGGGTGTAGGGCAGGGCCCCTGAAACTCCTCAGCCCTGAAGGGTAGACTCTTTTTTCTCCAGGAAATGGCCAGTGATGAACTGAGGGAGTTGAGGAATGCCATGACCCAGGAGGCCATCCGTGAGCACCAGATGGCCAAGACTGGCGGCACCACCACTGACCTCTTCCAGTGCAGCAAATGCAAGAAGAAGAACTGCACCTATAACCAGGTAAGGACAGTGAGGGGACGGGCCGGAGGTGCAGGAGGCCGCAGGGGCATAGAGGTGGAAAATCAGAGAGAAGCTTAGGGAAGAGCCAGAGGGGAGAAAGCGTTAAAACTCTCTAGGCTTTGCCGGGTGCGGTGGCTCATGTCTGTAATCACAGCACTTTGGGAGGCCAAGGCGAGTGGATCACCTGAGGCCAGGAGTTTGAGACCAGCCTGGCCAACACAGTGAAACCCCATCTCTACTAAAAATACAAAAATGCCGGGCGCGGTGGCTCACGCCTATAATCCCAGCACTTTGGGAGGCCAAGACGGGCGGATCACGAGGTCAGGAGATTGAGACCATCCTGGCAAACACGGTGAAACCCCGTCTCTGCTAAAAATTCAAAAAATTAGCAGGGTGTGGTGGCGGGCACCTGTAGTCCCAGCTACTCAGGAGGCTGAGGCAGGAGAATGGCGTGAACCCGGGAGGTGGAGCTTGCAGTGAACCGAGATCATGCCACTGCACTCCAGCTTGGGCGACAGAGTGAGACTCCATCTGAAAGAAAAAAAAAATTAGCCAGGCATGGTGGCACGTGCCTGTAATCCCAGCTACCCTGGAGGCTGAGGCAGGAGAATCACTGGAACCTGGGAGGTGGAGGCTGCAGTGAGCCGAGATTGCACCACTGTACTCCAGCCTGGGCGACAGAGGGAGACTCTGTCTCAAACCAAACAAACAACAAAAAGAAAACCTCTCTAGGCTGGGCCAGCTCAGTGGCTCACGCCTGTAATCCCAGCACTTTGGGAGGCCGAGGCAGGCAGATTGCTTGAGCCTAGGAGTTTGAGAGCAGCCTGGGCAACGTGGTGAAACGTCATCTCTGCTAAAAATACAAAAATTAGCCAGGCTTGGTAGTGTGTGCCTGTAGTCCCAGCTACTGGATGCGGGGGAAATGGGTGGCGATGAGGCAGGAGAATCACTGGAGCCCAGGAGGTTGAGGCTACAGTGAATTGAGGCTGCAATGAGCTATGATTGCACCACTGCACTCCAGCCTGGGTGACAGAATGAGACCCTGACTCAACAAAACAAAGAAAACCTTAAAAACTCTCCAGGCTGCAGAGAGAAGGGCAAGCCTTGGTACACTAATGTGGTGCACCTGTGGCTTCTAGACAATGTTCCTCTGAGTTTAGAATCATCCCTGCTATGTGTCTACGAGGCTTGGTCAGTGTGTTCTGGTCTGCCCTGACGTGACAATAAGAAGAATCAGACTCATGGCGGCTGAAGAGTCATAGACAGTTGGAAGGGAACTTGGCAATGTGAAACCCAGCTCCCTCATTACACACCCAGGGAAACTGAGGCCCACACAGGCCACAGATGGGCTTTTTAGCCTTGCCCAAGAAAGGAGGCCAATGTCAGAGGTAGTAATAAACAAGATCCACACCATTCTGCCTGCAATCCAGCTAACTTGGTCAATAAAGCCTAAGGGCTTTAGCTCTGAGTCCTAAAGTTGAAGACCATTGCCCTGGCATGGGGAACTTGGGAAGGCTGTGGAGGCCCCTTCTCTTAAAACCAGAGAATGGCCTCCTCTTTCTGGGTTGCACATGGTATGCCCTTAGAGCACAAATATCCTTGGATTCTAACTGGTGTCTAGTCATTCTAGAACTCTATTCAGAGTTCTCCGTCTGTTCGGCACACACCATTTATCAAGAGCACCTTGCCTGCGGCATTCTGTGGCCAGGGCAGAAATGCAGTCAGCCTTGCCATTCCGGAGGAGTCCCTTGGAGAATTCCAGTTCTGGAATCCGGAGATGTTTGTGCAAGCTTCTGCTCTCTCCCAAGCACCTTTCCGTGTGGAGTGATGCGCTTCCTGTGCCTCACTTCTTTCTAGAAGTAAACTGCCCACTAGCAAAGTTTTCTCTCTGCTCGTCACTGCTTTCCAGTGACCAGGCTGCGCTAAGCTGTGTCCGCCTGGCAGACTGCTGGGCTGCTGGGGCTCACCCAAGGAGGGTGGCGGGCATAACTCGTCCCACACCACAGATTCCCAGCTGACATCATTCGTAGCTGATTGTCAGCAAAGTAATGACTTGCTACATGTCGTGGCCAGCCAAGGACAGCCTTAGAAAACCAGAACAGGAGCTGTTAAACCTGGAAATGCCAGGGCTTTACTGTGGGATACCCGGTTCCTGCACCTGAATGATGAGGCTAAGAGGATGAGAAAATGTAACATTAAATAGTCCCAATGATATTTAGGACTTTCCCTCTCTGGGCCTCAGGTCTTCCACCAGTAAAATAAGGAAGATGAACTAGACCGCTAAGCCTGCTTGCAGCTCACTCCTGTGAACTTGTCCAGTAGGATGTGTTCAGGGGTGAGTCAGGGAATACTTCCTGTAGGAGATAAGTCTTGAGGCAAGAGAAGAGAGGTCTGTTACAAAAGATCAACAAGAGTGACCAACAAGAGTGAAAGTCCAAATTAGCCGGGCGTGGTGGCGGGCGCCTGTAATCCCAGCTATTCAGGAGGCTGAGGCAGGAGAATTGCTTGAACCCAGGAGGTGGAGGTTGCAGTGAGCCGAGATGGCACCACTGCACTCCAGTCTGGGCAACAGAGCGAGACTCCACTGTCAAAAAAAAAAAAAAAAAAAAAGCGGAAGTGCAAAAGGCCAGGTTAAGCCAGTAAGATACTGGGAGTGAGCTGATGGACTGCCTGCCAGAGGAGAGGAAAGCATAATACTAATATTATGGAGTTGTCAGTGATAAGGAAATTGCCAGCGGGGGGTGGGAATCTCAGTGCCAACCTCTGGGATTTGGACCTACTCCTAAAGACAGTGGGAGCCATGGCAGGTCCTAGAACAGGGGAGTGACTTCATGAGTGGTTCTTCTCTCTCTCAGGTGCAGACACGCAGTGCTGATGAGCCCATGACTACCTTTGTCTTATGCAATGAATGTGGCAATCGCTGGAAGGTCTGTATGTTTATGTATTTCCCCCTTCCCTGTTATCCACATACCTCGCCCGCATAAGGCGTAGTGTACCCACAACCCAGAAGGGGCCTTGTGCATGGCAGCACTTGCCAGCCTGCACAGAGTAGGTCTGCAGAGCCAGAGATAGTGGCGGATTGCTGTTGGGGAGGTGGGGAGAGAACACACATGCATGTTTTCATTTTAGAAGGGCACCAAGCTGGGGTGGGGGCAGCAGCCCACATTTTATCACAGGATGAGCAAGTCTGTCATTTGAGCACAGATGGAATCGGCTTCCTGAGATCCACAGAGGAGAGGAAAAACATTCTGCACTTGGACCACGCCTCTTTGGAAAGTGCTTCCACAGATGGTATTTCCTTTGAACCTGGCCACAGCCAAGGATGGGAAACAGGAAGGCTGAGCCCTGTCAGAAAGGAGTTGAACCTAAATGCCACCAGGCCATCCTTCCCTCCTAAGGAAGCTCTGAAAGTCTTACCCAAGTCTGTAACTCAGACTGCCCCAGCTCCTGCAAAGGCAGAAGTTTTGTTTTCACGCATGGGAGCCAAACAAAGACTCCTCCCAGAGTGCTCCTTCCTGCCAAGTCTCCTGAAGGAACAGAGTGTGGTCACGTGCCTATTGTCAGTTTCCAACTGCTCTCTGACTTGCATGTGCACCATGTGATGTCTGGGCCACCAGGCAGGCTGCAGGTGCTCCAAAAGTTCTAAGGTACTTAGCAAGAAGTACAAGATAAGTCAGGATCCCTGGTTTCAGGTCCCATTCTGCCCTACTCATGCTGAGCATGTTACTCACCTCATTGAGCAAAAGAGTAATAATAATGCCTTTCTCCCAGGTTTGATGATGTGAGGATCATTTTGATATGAGGGTTATCATGTATGCATAAACACTTTGCAAACAACTACAAGAATTGTTCCTTTATAATGTTATTCTTACTTTCAGACAAGGAAATTGAAATACAGAAATAGTTAATAAGCATAAAGCCACAGTTTGGAGCACTGAAAGCCGATGCTCCGACTTCCTGATCAATTCTTTTACTTTTTTTTTTTTTTTTTTTGAGATGGAGTCTCGCTCTGTTGCCCAGGCTGGAGTGCAGTGGTGTGATCTCTGCTCACTGCAAGCTCCACCCCCCAGGTTCACACCATTCTCCTGCCTCAGCCTCCTGAGTAGCTGGGACTAAAGGCGCCGGCCACCACACCCGGCTAATTTTTTTGTATTTTTAGTAGAGACGGGGTTTCACCGTGTTAGCCAGGATGGTCTTGATCTCCTGACCTCGTGATCCGCCCGCCTCGGCCTCCCAAAGTGCTGGGATTACAGGCGTGAGCCGCCGCGCCCGGCCTCTAATTATTTTTCTTACTAAGGACCTCAGTAGCCCTTACTGGGGCCTCATTAGAACTGCCATATTTTTTAAGGTAAAAACCAGATGATTATGTATTTTTTCCTTTTTTCACTTATTGAGCACTTAGGGATGGGGCCAGTATAGTGGCCTACTGGTTTAGAGCATGGGCTTTGGCATCAGGCTCAAATCCTAGCTTTATCCCTTACCAAGTGACTTAACTCAGTGACCTGAACTCACTAAGCCTGGATTTCCTCATCTATAAAATGAGGGTATTCATATCTAGCCCACAGAGCTGTTTTGAGGAGTAGAGAAGGTAACACACATAAAGCATTAACAGAGCCTCTGAGAGCTCATATGGCATCTTTGTCAAATTAGAAAAAGGTGTCCCTTCCTCCAGGCGGCACAGCCTCATGCCAGGGTACGGAGCAAACAGAGCAGGGGCTACGTTTCAGCCTCAGCTTGCCCCTTTGGCCAGGCTCTTTTGTGCAGTCAACAAATTATACAACCATACAAAAAAAGCCCTGAGTACAGACATGCCTGGTACATAAAACCACTATTCTTACTATTTTGGGTATGTCATCTACTAGTATTACGGGAGTTTGGGCAAGTCACTTAACCTCTCTGATCTGCTTCCTTACCTGTAAAAATAGGAGTGATAGGCCAGGCGCAGTGGCTCGTGCCTGTAATTCCAGCACTTTGGGAGGCCGGTGGATCACCTGAGGTCGGGAGTTTGAGACCAGCCTGACCAACATGGAGAAACCCCGTCTCTACTAAAAATACAAAATTAGCCAGGCGTGGTGACACATGCCTGTAATCCCAGCTACTCGGGAGGCTGAGGCAGGAGACTCGCTTGAACTCAGGAGGCGGAGATTGCGGTGAGCCAAGATCATGCCATTGCACTCCAGCCTGGGTGACAAGTGAAACTCCGTTTCAAAAAAAAAAAAAAAATTGGGAGTGATATTAGTGCCTATCTCAGAGTGATTGTAAGGGTGAAATGAGTTAATACATGTTAATACTGCCTAGCACAGAATAAATGCTCAATAAATGTAGCTCTTGTGATTTTGTTACTGTTAGAGAAAGGACATTCTGAATGCTTTAAATCCAGCTCCTCTTCCTTGACTCTTACTAGTTGGAGGGACAGGATCCACTAGAGGTAACAACTACAGACTTCTGAACACATTTTCAGTTGGTCTCCGTTGCCATGTGGGAGACCAAAAGTCTAACCAAGTGATTAGTAGCCATCCCAGTGATGTTCTTGACCATAAATTGAGAGCTCAGCACATTCCTGGCACCGAATTGCCATTCATTTATTACCTGATATCATTCTCACATTCACAAGCTTTATGAGCTCATTTTACAGGTGAGTGATTTGTTCAAGATCACACAGCTAATAATGGCAGAGCTGGGCTTTGGACTCTGGTCTGTGTGGCTCCAGACACCACCTTCTTTTTCATATTCCCCCACAGCCTCCTTGGAGGATGCCGAGAAACCTTTCAAATTTTGTTGCCTTTCTGGTTTTGTAGTTCTGCTGATGGAACAGCCAGCCATGAACAAGGTGAGGAAGAAGAAAGAGGAAGCGCTGAATTATCTGAACTGGAGAAGCAATAAAAATTAAAGTGAAGGAAAATACTGAACTCTGTCTGAGTGGGATGGTATGAGTTAGAGGAAGAATTCTCTTGCAAATTAATAATCGGTCATTAGAAACAATTGGTTAATGGGGGAGCCTAATTGGAGAATGATGCTGAGAATTTGTATTGATGAACCTCTTTTAGAAACTGCAGAGGGCTGGGCACGGTGGTTTATGGCTGTAATCTGCAAACTCTGGGAGGCTGAGGTGGGAGAATCGCTTAACCCCAGAAGTTTGAGTCCAGCCCAGGCAACACAGCAAGACCCCATCTCTATAAAAAGAAAAAATAAAGAAACTGCAGCGCCTTAGACCTGAGGTGTCATATCTTTGACAGTGGGCTGGCAGACGTTTGCTTTGAGTTCCTTCTCTCCCATCTGGATCTCCCAGCCTTTTCCAAATTGAAAAATGCCAGATCAACACAAACCTTACCCCACCCCCACCTCCGAGTCACACGTGCAGAACTGTTGATACACCATTTGGCTTCAGCAGATATTACTTCCATACTACGTATTAGGTTGCTGCAAAAGTAATTGTGGTTTTTGCAGTTACTTTTGCAGTGGCCTAATAGAAATATTTCTTCCCTACTCTTTCCTCATCTCTTCCCAAACTCTCTGCTATTCCCTGTTCACAGCTGGCTGTGGGGGCCTTTGAGGACTCCAGATCATATCCCTCTAGGCAGGGAACAGATCCTCTTGAGCTGGGCTTTCTGAGTGGGCTTTCTTGAGTGGGCTTTCTGAAGATTACAGCAGCACTCTGACTTCCATGGCCCTTTGAAAGTCCTGAGCCTCAGAACCTGCCCAGGCCCTAGCAATGTGTCCCTCACAGCTCCATCTGTGACCTGAGCTTCAGAACACATCTGCAGAGCACAGAGACCTTGCCGTGCTTCTCCCATGATAATTATTGGCTTGCTTTTTTTGTTTGTTTGTTTTGTTTTGTTTTGTTTTTTTAGAGGCTGGAATGCAGTGGTGTGATCTTGGCTCACTGCAATTTCCACCTCCCAGGTTCAAGCAATTCTCCTGCCTCAGCCTCCTAAGTAGCTGGGACTACAGGCATAAGCCACCAAACCCGGCTAATTTTTTGTATTTTTAGTAGAGACGGGTTTTCGCCCTGTTGGCCAGGCTAGTCTCAAATTCCTGGGCTCAAGTGATCCACCCTCCTCGGCCTCCCAGAGTGCTGGGATTATAGGTGTGAGCCACTGCACCTGGCCTCGGCTTGCTTTTGATGCTGACAGGAACTTTCAGCAAAGCTGGAAACTTCTAGAAAAGCCTTGGGGAAGCTGTTGGGGCAACTATAACCCAAGTTCCTCATATACCCTGGATATCATTTACTCTAGAATTGGTTACTGTCTTCTTCCTTCCATCCATAAGTGCCTTCTCCTGTAGATGAAGCCCGGAAATAAACTAGGTACAGGAGTCTTCCACCTTCTTTGACTTTTATTTATTTTTATTTATTTATTTATTTTTGAGACAGGGTCTCTCTCTGTCACCCAGACTGGAGTGCAGCGGTGCAATCTTGGCTCACCGCAACCTCTGCCTCCCAGGCTCAAGTGATCCTCCTGCCTCAGCCTCTTGAGTAGCTGGGATTACAGGCACGCACAACTACCACCTGGCTAGTTTTTGTATTTTTATTAGAGACAGGGTTTCACCATGTTGGCCAGGCTAGTCTTGAATTCCTGACCTCAAATGATCCGCCCACTTTGGCCTCCCAAAGTGCTGGGATTACAAGCATAAGCCACTGTGCCCGGCCCCATCTTTGACTTTTTTTTTTTTTTTCTGAGACAGAGTTTCACTCTTGTTGCCCAGGGTGGAGTGAAATGGCACGATTTTGGCTCACTGCAACCTCCACCTCCTGAGTTCAAGAGATTCTCCTGCCTCAGCCTCCTGAGTAGCTGGGATTACAGGTGCCCACCACCACACCCGGCTAATTTTTTTTGTATTTTTAGTAGAAATGGGGTTTCACCATGTCGGCCAGGCTGGTCTCGAACTCCTGATCTCAGGTGATCCACCCACCTTGGCCTCCCAAAATGCTGGGATTGCAGGCGTGAGCCACCGCGCCTGGCCTGTCTCTGACTTTTAAACAGTTAGATTTGGGGTGAATCCCTTTCTTGGAAAGATCGAAAATCCTCTCACAGATGATACAACACAAAGAGCTCATAAATGGCAGAGCCAGGACAGAAACCCAGGTCTTCTGCTTCCTGTCATTGTGCTATAAGAGATCCAGAGCTATACACAGCGCTCAGCCCTTACCTTCCAGGAAGTCACAGCCTGGCAGGGAAAGAAACCATAGGCACAGATTTCCACACCAGACGGGATGCGATAAATGCCACATACATCTGAGGGACCAACATTATCCACAGACGTGCAGGGGGATGTTGCTGAGAAACCCAGATGTTTCTTAAACTTTAATATAGGTGAGAATTCACTGGGCATTGTGCTGAAATGCAGATTCCAATTCAATGGGTCTGGGGTGGGCCTTGAGATTGTTCAATTCTTTCTTTCTTTTTTTCTTTTTCTTTTTTTTTTTTTTTAAGACAGGGTCTCACTCTGTTGCCCAGACTGGAGTGCAGTAATGCCATCATGGCTCACTGCAGACTTGACCTTCTAGGCTCAGGCGATCCTTCCACCTCAGCTGCTGGAGTAGCTGAGACTATAGGCATGCACCACCACGCCTGGCTAATTTTTTATTTTTTATAGAGATGGGGTCTCCCTATGTAGTCGAGGCTGGTCTCAAACTCCTGGGCTCAAGCAATCCTCCTGCCTCAGCCTCCCAAAGCGCTGGGATTATAGGCATGAGCCACCGCACCCAGCTGATTTTTCATTTCTAACCCCAATGCAGCTGGTCCACAGACCACACTTTGAGTAGGAAGGCCTTAGATGTCCAGATTTTTCTCTGTATTATGTAATCCTCCATCCAAATGTCTAGAAACCAAAAGCAGAACAAAAAGCAACCACTGTCAATTTAATAAGGCCAATAAAGGTTACTTTCGGGTGAGTTTTTTGTTTTGTTTGGTTTTGTTTTGAGACAGAGTCTTGCTCTGTCGCCCAGGCTGGCGCAATCTCGGCTCACTGCAACCTCCACCTCCCGGGTTCAAGACATTCTCCTGCCTCAGCCTCCCAAGTACTAGAACCCCAGTACTGGAACCACCACACCCGGCTAATTTTTGTGCTTTTAATAGAGATGGGGTTTCACCATGTTGGCCAGGCTGGTCTCAAACTCCTGACCTCAGGTGATCCGCCCGTCTCAGCCTCCCAAAGTGCTAGGATTACAGGTGTGAACCACCACGCCTGGCCTTGAGTGAGGTTTTTTTTTTTGAGACAGAGTCTTGCACTGTCGCCCAGGCTGGAGTACAGCGGTGTGATCTCGGCTCACTGTAACCTCCACCTCCCGGGTTCAAGCAATTCTCCTGCCTCAGCCTCCTGGGTAGTTGAGATTACAGGCACCTGCCACCACGCCTGGTTAATTTTTTTTTTTTTTTGTATTTTTGTATTTTTAGTAGAGACGGGGTTTCACCATGTTGGTCAGGCTGGTCTCGAACTCCTGACCTCATGATCCGCCCGCCTCAGCCTCCCAAAGTGCTGGGATTACAGGCGTAAGCCACTGCGTCCGGCCAACCTTGGGTGAGTTTTATAAACGCGGCACCTTGGGGCAATTTTCAGTAGTCACAATCTAAATAACTGTTGTGTTTCCTGTGTCATAGCATAGGGATTTAGAGCATAGAAAAAAAAAAAAGAAAACTAATCTTCACCCTCAATAACCTTACTGTTTACAAAGGAGATGAGTCAGATTAAACAGCAAAAGAACAAGTCAGCTCAAGTCCACACATCTATACAGTATACATCCACATTCACAAAAGGACACAAAAGAGTATGAATAGGCCACAGACTGTCATCAGCAGGCGGCAAAACCCTCACTGCGGGCCTTCCCGTGTCCACTCCGGATCCAACTGACCAGAACAGGCTTTTCCACATTGTAAAACTGATCCTTAGAATCCTCCACTCTACACCCCCATTTAAAACCTTTCCTTTTTTCCCCCCTACTGCTCTTGGCAAGGTCTACAGGGCCCTGCAGCGCGGGCCTGTACCTCGCCCCCGCACTTTGTGCTGCAATCACACTGGCCTTCTCTCAGTTCTTCACGACATGCTGTGCTCCTCCTTGTCACAGAGTCTTTCCACATGCTGTTGGCTGGAACAAGTGGTTTAACCCCATCTCCTTCATAACCAAAGATGAAGAAGGTGCGAGCTACAAGGAGTTAGCATTCACCTCTGCCACCCAGGAGGGCTTCCTAGGGGAGGGGAGGTGGTTACCATACTGGAGGAAAAAGACAAGGTCAAATGAGGTAAAACAGGCAACACGCTTGGAATGAAAGAGCTCACCAGAATGTTATGGCCAAAAGAACTTGAAAATAGGCTGGCTGCGGTGGCTCACGCCTGTAATCCCAGCACTTTAGGAGGCCAAGGTGGGCGGATCACTTGAGGTCAGGAGTTCGAGACCAGCCTGGCCAACATGGTGAAAACCCATCCCTATTAAAAATACAAAAAAAAAAAAAAAAAAATAGCTGGGCATGGTGGCACACGCCTGTAATCCCAGCTACTCTGGAGGCTGAGGCAGAAGAATCACTTGAACCCAGAAAGCAGAGGTTGCAGTGAGCCGAGATTGCCACTGCACTCCAGCCTGGACGACAAGAGTGAGACTCTACCTCAAAAAAAAAAAAAAAAAAAAAACTTGAAAATGGAAGAATGGAGGGTCGTTGAAGATCCTATGGCCAATTTGGGTGTTTTAAAAAGGTTCCAGGAACCTAAAATACTGTATAGGATGAGAAGTCTTTCTTAGTATTTTCATCCAGACTACCAAATCTCTTATTAGCCTCGTTTTTTCTTTAGCTCAAGACTTACATTGCCAAGTGCCTATTTGGATATCTCCTCGCAAGCACCCCACTGACCCTCTCAATGCTATAATACAGTTAATCTGAAATTGAACTCACATCTCTGTTTTTTAATTTAAAAATATTTTTTTGAGATAGGGTCTCATCCCGTCACCTAGGCTGGAAAGCAGTGGTGCAATCACAGTTCACCGAAGTCTTGATGTTTCAGGATCAAGTGATCCTCCCGCCTTTGCCTCCCAAGTAGCTAGAACCACAGGTGTGCACCACCACCCCCCACTAATTTTTTTTATTTGTAGAGATGAGATCTCGCTGTGTTTTCCAGGCTGGTCTTGAACTCTTGTGCTCAAGTGATCCTCCCACCTCAGCCTCCCAAAGTGCTGGGATTACAGGTGTGAGCCACCATACCCCGACATTGTTTGTTTGTTTGTTTTTTGAGAGACAGGGTCTGACTCTGTTGCCTGGGCTAGAGTGCAGTGGTGTGATCATAGCTCACTGCAGTCTTGAACTCCTAGGCTTAAGTGATCCTCCCACCTCAGCTTCCTGAGTAGCTGGGACTACAGGCACATGCCACCACATCTGGCTAATTTTTTTTTTTTTTGTCAGGCACAGTGGCTCATGCCTGTAATCCCAGCATTTTGGGAGGCCAAGGCGGGCAGATCACCTGAGATCAGAAGTTCGAGACCAGCCTGGCCAACATGTACTAAACATCTACTAAACATACAAAAATTATCCAGACGCAGTGTCGCATGCCTGTAATCCCAGCTACTCAGAAGGCTGAGGCACAAGAATCGCTTGAACCTGGGAGGTGGAGGTTGCAGTACAGCGCCACTGCACTTCAATCTGGGTGACAGAGTAAGAATCCGTCTCAAAAAAAAAATTTTTTTTGTAGAGATGGGCATGCGAGGGGGGTCTCCCTATGTTACCAAGCCTGGTCTCCAACTCCTGACTGACCTCAAGCGATCCTCCCACCTGGGCCTCCCAAAGTGTTGAGATTACAGGCGTGAGCCACTGCACCCCATGCATCTTTTCTTTCTTTGGTCCCCTCTTCTGTCTTTCCTATTTGTCAGATAATTCATTCCTTAAAACCATCTGTGACTCTTTCCCCTTGTCCTCTTCTCTTATTTCCCAATTCTATAGTCTCTCCCTTGACCAACCCTTATCTCCATTCCCATCACTGTCAACATGGCCTTTCAGGTTTCCTTTTTTCTTTTTCTTTTTTCTTTTCTTTTTTTTTTTCTTTTTTGAGATGGAGTCTCTCTCTGTCACCCAGGCTGGAGTGCAGTGGCGCGATCTCTGCTCACTGCAAGCTCTGCCTCCTGGGTTCATGCCATTATCCTGCCTCAGCCTCCTGAGTAGCTGGGACTACAGGCACCCTCCATCACGCCTGGCTAATTTTTTGTATTTTTAGTAGAGACGGGGTTTCACCGTGTTAGCCAGGATGGTCTTGATCTCCTGACCTTGTGATCCGCCTGCCTTGGCCTTCCAAAGTGCTGGGATTACAGGCATGAGCCACTGCACCCGGCCCAGGTTTTTTTTTTTTCTAGGACTGGTGCAAAGGTCTTCTACTGATCCTCCAACTCAGAGCACTATCTTCCCTGCATCTACCCTGCCTGACTCTGAGCATCATTCCTTGTCTTCAGCAGGTTCCACCAGCTATCAAAATTCAACTATTTGGTTTGATTTTCAAAGCTCTATCTGCCCTCTGCCTTTTCTGGGGGTGGCGAGGGGGCCTAGAGGCTTTTATGTCTGACTGTGCCGATGGGCCCTGTCACGCGCGTCCGTCTGAAGAGACTACCAAACAGGCTTTGTGTGAGCAACAAGTCTGTTTATTTCACCTGGGTGCAGGCGGGCTGAGTCCGAAAAGAGAGTCAGTGAAGGGAGATAGGGGTGGGGCCGTTGTATAGGATTTGGGTAGGTAATGGAAAATTACAGTCAAAGGGGGTTGTTCTCTGCAGGGGGAAGGGTGGGGGACACAAGGTGCTCAGTGGGGGAGCTTCTGAGCCAGGAGAAGGAATTTCACAAGGTAATGTCATTAGTTAAGGCAGGAACCAGCCATTTTCACTTCTTTTGTGATTCTTCAGTTACTTCAGGCCATCTGGATGTATACGTGCAGGCTTGGGCTCAGAGGCCTGACAGGCCCTTGCCCTCTGCTTGGCTTTGGTGGTTCATCGTCCACCTCTGCTGTCCCTTATGCTCCAGGCTAAAGGAGATATTTGCCCTGTGTTTGAATACCCAATGGGCCTTCCCATTTGTGAATACCTATACTGCTTCCTTCTCCTCAGCCAGATCCAAATCTTATCCATTCTTCAAGGCTCACCTCAGATGCACATCTTCTTATGAGGTCTCCGATCCCCTAGCAACATGAGATGGTTCCTCAGAACTCCCATAGCATCGTGAAATTCTCTTAGCACACATTGCATTCAACCTTCATGATGATGATTCCTTTAAAATTTCTTTGTATGACAGTGTCAGTAATATCTATTAATCATTGAGCATTTACTAGCTGGATATCTTGGGCACATTATACAACTTCTGCATGCTTCTGGTTTCATCGGTTAAACAGTGGTAATAACAGCTCCTAGCTCAAAGGGTTGTTGTGAGGATTCATTTAGTTAATACAAAGAGAGCAGCAGAATCAGGCCTGACACATAGTGACTGATTAGTAAATATTAGCTATTGTTACTATGAGTGCAGGGTAGCACATTACATTGATTGCCTCAGTGAGCCCTCTGACCTCATGAACTAGGTTACTATTATTATACTGTTTTTTAAAAATTGTAGTAAACTACACATGACATAAACCACCTTAGCAGTTTTTTAAAAATCTATTTTGAGACAGTCTCTCTCTGTTGCCCAGACTGGAGAGCAGTGGCGCGATCTCGGCTCATTACAACCTCTGCCTCGTGGGTTCAAGTGATTCTTGTGCCTTAGCCTTCTAAGCAGCTGAGATTACAGGTGCATACCACCAGACCTAGCTAACTTTCATATTTTTAGTAGAGACGGGGTTTCAACACCTTGGCCAGGCTGGTCTGGAACTCCTGGCTTCATGTGACCCACCCGCCTCAGCCCCCCAAAGTGCTCGGATTACAGGCATAAGCCACCGCGCCCAGCCCATCTTAAAAATGTTTAAGTATATAGTTCAGTAAGGTTAAGTACATTCATACTGTTGTACAACCAGTCTCTAGAACTCTTCATCTTGCAAACTGAACCTTTATACTCCTTAAATAACTCATTTCCTCCTCCCCTCAAGCCCTGGAAAGCACTATTCTACTTTCTATGAATTTGTATTATTATAGTCTTTGCAGACTGAGAAAACTAAGGTTCTGAGAGTAATTTTTTTTTTTTTTTTTTGAGACAGAATCTCACTCTGTCGTCCAGGCTGGACTGCGTGGCACAATCTTGGCTCACTGCAACCTCCGCCTCCCAGGTTCAAGCAATTCTCCTGCATCAGCCTCCTGAGTAGCTGGGATTACAGGCCCATGCCACCATACCAAGCTAATTTTTGTATTTTTAGTAGATACGGCTTTCACCATGTTGATCAGGCTTGTCTCAAACTCCTGACTTCATGATCCGCCCACCTCAGCCTCCCAAAGTGCTAGGATTACAGGCGTGAGCCAAGTCATTTGTTTTTGGAGAAAGAACCTGGATTTGAACCCAGAGCCCAGGTCATGCTCTGAGCCACTTTGCAATATGTTCACCTCACAGAACATCTGTGATGTGTTTTTCCTCCCCCCATAATAGTGATGGCCATGGTATGCCAAGGCCATCCTCTGTACCATTCTCACATTTAATCCACGCAGCAGCCCTGCAGTCGTGAGGGGTGGTGTCCTATTTCCCAGCTCAGCAGCTGCTACAGAATAGGGTTCAGTGAGTATGGGTCTGTTTGATATCTTTAAGTAGGCCAAATAATACTAAATAAGTTTGTATTGCATTTTTAATGCAATTGTCTACATTTTTAGAAAATATTGATTCTTTTTGGAGAAAACCAGCTGAAATGCATGAGGTCATAAGAGCTTCCCAATCATCTCCACTTCCCCCTCCTCTGCAGAGTCAATCTGCTGCCTCACCCCAGGCCAGTCCCTGGGCAGCCCCGCATCTTTACCTCATCATTAGCATTGCGATTCACAGCCAAAGGCAGAGACAAACAGGGAGACAGGCAAGGGGACATAGGAGACTCTCCGTGCTCTGCTTCCTCCCCCTGCTGCTCCACCCCCACACTATTCCCTCTAGCCATAACCAATCCTGACCAGCCTGGAACATGCTCTGGCCTTTCACGCCTCCGTGCCTTCGCACATGCTGTTCTTGAAGACTGGAATGCTTTCCCTCCCACCTTCTCCACCTCCAAACTCCTACAGTCTTACCAGCTCAGACGTCACCTCCTCCGTGAAGCCTCCCCCCTTCCCCGCCAGCTAGGAGTCCACCCACTCCTGGGTGCAGACGAGCTCACCCCTTATTATAGCACTTGGACTGCAATGACTGTTTGCAAGTCAGTGTGTCCCCCACGTCCCCAACTCCTTGTGCAGTGATGAGCCTTTATCACCCCTCCTAGCAGGGCTCACGAGAAGCCCAGGTCATTTTGATTTTTTGAGGTGCCCCATCTGTTTGAAAATGAAGAGATGACAAAACAGGATTACACACATCAAGGCATGTTTTAAAATGTTTAACAAATTAATGTTTCTGATACAAAAAACTATGACAATTGTGCTGCTCACAAGATAATTATAAAATTTATTAAAAGGTAGGAACTTACAGTGCTCCACAGGCACAGTGGCCTGGTAATAGAGTACAGGTTTAAGGATATACAAGGAGGGTCTTTGATCCCATCAGCCAGTGGAGCCGACATAATGTATAACCTTCTTTAGAGATAATGTTGAAAGCCTAAATTGGAGACCCTGGCCAAACGGCTCTTCTGGCCTCTTTCCCAGTGATGACAGGCTGTCCTGCTGCTTCTACACACAGTAGGTACTCATTGTTTGCTGAATCATGGGAACAAATACAGCTTTCCAAGTTGGTTACTGAAAATCCACATACAGTAAGTATTCCCAAGAAACACTGCAGTCCAGAACAATGGGGCAGGAAGCCACCTCCTCCTCCAGTGACCCCAACCCTGAGTCCAGCTGAAGGCTGCAACAGGAAGCCCCTCAGCCACTGTCCTTCCACTCCCTCTTCCCCACTCCCCCCAGGGGCTCCAGATGCAGTCATGCTTTCCATCCGCTCCCAGCCTCTCTTCTCTTTCCAACCTCTAGAGGGTCCCAGGTGAAGAAAAAAAAAGCACTTACAGAAGGAGGCAGGCAGCCAAGCTGAGCCCGGGGAGTCGTCCTGGGCGCCACCCCGCCCCCGCCCCGCAGGCCTGAGGAATAAAAGAAACAGCAAGAAGACAAAGAAGGGCTTAAAGCACTGGGGCAAAGGGGTGGGGGGAAGGCCTAAGAAAGTTTACAAAGCAATCTGTCAGAGAAGGGATGAAAAGGGACCCCCGCTGGGCTGAGGGGCTCAAGCCCTCAGCTCACCTTAGGCCCAGTTAGAAACCTGCAATTACTTCAGCTAGTCAGAAAGGCTCCCCTCCTCCTTGCTCCAAGGAGCGTGGTTATTAACCTCTGACCCAGAAGTTTCCCTGAGCGTGAAGCCTCAACTTGCTGGGGTTTTGGCAACCCCAAGTACCTATGCTCTACTAGGCTCAACACACCGCTCACTGGAACCCACCAAACTGGCCTAACCTCTGTTGCGTCTGAATTTCTGGAAGAAACACGATGTGAGGATAAAGTCACCCACAGTTCCTCACAGCTATTGAGCCACTTTGATTTCCCAGATTTTCTGAGCTATCCAATATACCCACAAGCATTTCTGGAAGTTTCCCTTACCACCAAAGCCAGGGTTAATAAAAAGTAACGGCTATCATCCAAGAGCGCACTCTCTGGAACGCTTTAATCATCTCACTCACGCCTCACAACATCCTTAGGTATGATGACCCTCATTTTAGAGAAAAGGAAATGGGCCTGGATTCAATGACTTTCCAAAGGATACACAGCCTGGATTCCAAACCAGGCTTGTCTGACCTTGAGGCCCACGCTCTTTCCACTGGGGATACTGCCTCTAGGGGACCCTCCAGGATTCCATTTTATATGGTGCTCAGATCAATTTTATTTTTATAGCCAAATTTAGCAGTGGGGGGTTGTATACTAACTTTAGAGTTATTAATGTTATTAAGTTCTGGTAACCCACTACCATCGGACCAGCCTCGGATCGACTTTAGATGAGGTAGGATGGTATAATTCTGTGACATCTTAAGAATTCTTAGCCCCACAGTTGCGGGTGGAAAGAGAAGGAATGGGAAAGTCTGCATTATGGCTGGGGTGGGTCCTTCTGTTCTTTTTAGACACTTCAGTAATTTAATCATAAATAACCGGGCACTGGGAACAGGACACTCACTAATAAAAGCAAGGCCTGGAGTTATGTTTGAAAAAAATTTTCAAGTTCCTCAGTGGGTGGATCTATCTGCAAAACAAAAGAAAGGCCCCTTTCCCAGCCCAGGCAGAGAAGTCTCCTGTACAGTTAGAGACAACAGGCTTCCGGGCACGTAGCCAAGGTTCTGGGGATATTTATAACTTGAAGAGGGTGGGAGTCCCTAATAAGCTGCTATATTCTTTTTCCATCACTTCCCTCTCCAAGGCTACAGCGAGCTGGGAGCTCTTCCCCACGCAGAATGCCTGCTTTCCCCAGTGCTCGACTTCCATTGTCTAATTCCCTCATCCTGGCTGGGGAAAGGGAGAGCTGCGAGTCCTCCCGTTCCGAGGAACTCCAGCTGAATGCAGCTTAGTTGCTGGTGGTTTCTCGGCCAGCCTCTGTGGTCTCAGGGATCTGCCTATGAGCCTGTGGTTTCTGAGCTGCCTGCGAGTCTGAGGCCTCGGGAATCTGAGTCTTTAGGATCAGCCTACGATATCTGGGCTTCGCCTGCAAGTCTACGAATTCGAGATCTACCTGCGGGTCTGAGACCTCCGGGACCTGCCCGTGCTCTCTAGAATCTTCCTGAACGCCAGGTCTGAGAGAACGCTGCGGCTCTGGAACCCGTTCGCGGTCTCTCAGGTTTTGGAGACGACGATCTAGTGGATCTTTTGCGGGACAGGAGGTAAGTCTGTTCGTCCCCCACTCGGGTTTTCGGCTTCCTACCTTCAACCGGACAGGGACTGCTAACATCCTGAAGGCCCGCCCGGATCAGGGCCTCAGACGCCCAGGGTCCCTTCGGTGCGGGAGGCCGCTGGGAGCCCCTGTAGCAGACAAGCCCTCTGGGACGCTAAGGAGGGCCCGCCCCCCCCGCAGGGGCCTGGCTATCTCCTCCTTACACGCCCTACACCGCCACCCGCTTCTGAGTCCCCCAGGGTTTTCGCCTCCCCGCCGCTGGACGCCACTCAGCCCGCCGCTCGAGGGGCGCCCCCTTGAGAAGGACGCAGTCGCACGCCCCTACAGGGTTAAAGCGCCGAAGCCAAGACACCGCCAGGCTCTACTGCCGACCGCACTCCCGAGTCGCCCCGGCGCGGGGCGGCGCGGGGCCTCTCGGGAGTTGTATTGCGTACAGAGCCGCGCCGCCGCAGGCGCTGTTGGGAGATGTAGTGCGTGGGCGGGGCTCAAAGTTCCAGCGCGGCCTCCGAGTCTCCCCTGGGGAGTGGGCGGCTGCCGCTTCCCTCTCCAGCCTGTGCTGTCAAGCAGGGGCTCATTCTAGCTCAGCTCAACACAGGCCAGCGCCTAAATTGGCCTGACTTCGCAGATAATAAGGCCCGACTCAAGAGAAGCTTCTAGGGACGTGAGGCGAAGCAGGGCAGCCTCTAGCTTAATCGTGCTGCAGTCTCCATAAGAAAAAAGCGAGAATACTCCGCCCTGACTGGGAGGACGCGCTTACTTTTTCACCCTTTTGTTCTTTTCCCTCCTTGGCTTTTGGCCTCTGGCTAGCTTTTGTACGCGGGAGTGGAACTCCAACTCCCGGCAGGCCATGGGGGCAGGCACAGGCGCACTAGAGGCTCTTGGCCAGGCTGTGGGAGGCGGGCATAGTGTTCCGCCTCTGATTGGCAGAGTGGTTCACGAACTTCGCTCGCTGATTGGCTGAGGCAGCTGCCGGAAAGGACCCGGCCTCGAGATGGCAGAGCGGAGGCGTTCCCTGGGCTGAGCTGAGCACCTCCTCCCTGAGACAGCAGCGGTCTAACCCCCGGCGCGGGAGGGACCCAGCCAGGGGGCTGTCCTAGTAGATTCCGGCATTGCCTCCACCCCGCTGTGGCGGAGACGCAGAGGGCGGGTCGCGCTCGAGGGTCAGGGAGGAGAGTGACCCGGCCCTGGTCCAGGGCCCTCCCTGCCCGCCTTGGGGCCAGAACTCCAGCCCTGGGGAGTGGGCAGGGCCTGTTTTCCGTGCCTCACGCCCTGCTTTTCGCCTCCTTCAGCGCTGTCTGCTAGCTGCTTTTCCTGCTCTCTCTCCCTGGAGGCGAACCCTTGTGCTCGAGATGGCAGCCACCCTGCTCATGGCTGGGTCCCAGGTAAGCCGGAGGTGGCTTCTCAGACCTTGTCTCTGCTTACCCACCTCGTCCGGCGTTTCTCTGCTCTGCAAGTCCCTGTGGGAAATTCCCTGGGATTAGTAATTCGCTGGCTTCGATATTCTGCCTCCAGGGGCCTAGTACCAGGCCAGTATAGTCACAAACAAACATATATCGAACACCTGCTGTATGCCTTTAAATACTGGGGAGATAAAAGATGGACGAGATGGGCGCTACCTTCTAGCTCACAGCTCACAGTTCACAATCTGTAGGGAGAAAGGCGCATCCACTTAAGCGTGGCACAACGTAGTAAGTGCTCTACTTGCTGTAGGAACAAAGTGCTGTAGTGTGGGAATCACTCCCAAGAAGTCGGCGTGATTAAGTCTATCTGGGGCATCCAAGGGGAGTGGAGCCGTGCAGAGGGGTAGGGGGCATTGAAGAACAGTTAGTACTGCAGCGGGACCTTAAAGAGTAGTAGAATTTCTCTAGTGTGAGAAGAATATTCCAGGAAAAGAGGAACATTATGAGTAAAGGTATGGAGCGATGCAAGTGCCAGATATGTCCTGAGAAAGTCACAGCCAGAGGATAAAGTTCCTGAGTGGGGCAGGGATAGCTGGCCATGGGACCAGAGCAATCAGCTCATAAATTGCTGCCTTCTTTACCACATCTCTTTTTTGCTTGTTTATTTCTTATTTGGACTCTATAGGTCACATTTAATATATTTTTCCTCCTGAATATTTCTAATCATGTTTCTAATTTCAAGAAGTCCTAAATACAGAATAGTAGGGAAGTATCGTGTGATTTCAGGCACCTGTGACGTTTGAAGATATGGCCATGTATCTCACCCGGGAAGAATGGAGACCTCTGGACGCTGCACAGAGGGACCTTTACCGGGATGTTATGCAGGAGAATTATGGAAATGTTGTCTCACTAGGTAAGTAAGGATTCTACCTTTCTTTGCCTCCACGTTTTTGAGATCGTGTCAAAATGACTTAGTTCTTTCAACACAGCCTAGTGGTTTGATTTTTTAAAGCACTTAATTGGATATTGGCTTGACTTGAGTCCTCAGGCAGATCTTTGAATATGGGAACATCCAGGTCATATTGTCTAAAAAGAAAAAAACTGCTTCTGCACGTCTTAGACGTTCAGATTTCTTGTGCCCTGAGTCATTTTCCAATCTCCAGCCTGTTTGTACAGATCACTGACCAAACAGGTCTGGCATAATAGTGCTTGCCAGAATATAAATGCCCCGTAACTAGTGCTTTTACTCTAGGGTGCTAAAAGATGAGGGGATTCTAACCCAGGTTCATGGGAGGGCGAAAGCCACCTTTTTGTGTTTGTTTTGGCTTCAGAGCCCTAGCTTTGCCTCAAGTTCCTTAGCTGAGTAGATTCTCATCTAGAGATGTTTCAGTGTTGATGATGATAGATTTGTAGTGTGTCAAATGCTGTTCCAGAAGAATGCTGAAATAGATCACAAATTCTATTAGAGAGGGCAGCTGATTTTTTTTTCATGGTCTGCAAGCCTGTCTTCTCTCTTTGCTGTACTTTGGTCTGGGTGTAACTAGAATAAAGAGTATATTCTTGAGCTGAACGGTCTTTTGACTCACTTTGCCTCACTTTGCCTCCTGTCAAGACTTGACAGACATTAGCAAGCGTGTATGGGTCACTAGGTCATTTGCCATTCATTAGGATTAATCCTGTTTTTGAAATCTTTATTCCCATAGCCTTTTTCAGAACAAAAGGCAACTCTGAGGGCTTTCCTTTTTAACTTGAGCTTTCTCTGATGTCCCTAGTTTCTTGAATCCTTTCTTTATAAAAGTAACCATAAATAGTTATCTATCCAGATCTATTGCAGTCTGTAACCCAAATATTCCACTGAATCCAACAAAAGCAAAAAATGACAATCTTTAAAAAATGTGAATTTACAATTCTACAGTTTAGCCCCAAAAGCACTTGTTAGAAGGATGAAAGCGCCAAAAAACTGGTTTCTTGCCCAAATAAGTTTGGGAATGGGAATGGGTTTAAAAATGATTACAAGGCTTTTTTTTTTTTTTTTTTGAGACAGGATCTTGTTCTGTTGCCCAGGCTGGAGTGCAGTGGCACGATCACAACTCATTGCAGCCTTGACTTCCCAGGCCCAGGTCATCCTCCCATCTCAGCTTCCTGAGTAGCTGGGATCACAGATGCGTACCACCTTGCCCGGCTAATTCTTTTTATTTTTTAAAAAATTTTAAATTAATTAATTAATTAATTAATTTTTTTGAAACAGAGTCTCAGTCTGTTGCCCAGACTGGAGTGCAGTGGCCCAATCTTGGCTCACTGCAACCTCTGCCTCCTGAGTTCAAGCAATTCTCCTGCCTCAGCCTCCCGACTAGCTGTGATTACAGGTGCATGCCACCACGCTCAGCTAATTTTTGTATTTTTAGTGGAGACGGGGTTTCACCATGTTGGTCAGGCTGGTCTTGAACTCCTGACCTCAAGTGATCCGCCCACCTCGGCCTCCCAAAGTGCTAGGAATACAGGTGTCAGGCACCATGCTCAGCTTCTTTTTATTTTTTTATTATTTATTTATTTTTTTGTGAGATGGAGTCTTGCTCTGTTGCCCAGGCTGGAGTGCAGTGGCGCGATCTCAGCTCACTGCAAGCTCTGCCTCCCAGGTTCACGCCATTCTCCTGCCTTAGCCTCCTGAGTAGCTGGGACTACAGGTGCCCGCCACCACACTCGGCTAGTTTTTGCGTTTTTTTTTTTTAGAGATGGGGTTTCACCGTGTTAGCCAGGATGGTCTCGATCTCCTGACCTCGTGATCTGCCCACCTCGGCCTCCCAAAGTGCTGGGATTATAGACGTGAGCCACCGCGCCCGGCCTGCCTCTTTTTATTTTTAATAGAAGTGAGACCTCCCTATGTTGCACAGGCTGGTCTCAAACTCCTAGGCTCAAGTGATCCTCCTGCATCAGCCTCCCAAAGTGCTGGGATTAGAGGCCTGAGCTACTGCATCTGGCCTTATAAGGCCTTTTTACCTCAGGATTCCTTAGAACCTTTAATGTGTTATTAGGCATTGTGAATTTTGAAGGAAATGATATTGTATGTACCATTTACCAACCCAGTTTATCCATGAACCCTTTTCTCCCAAAATACATACTTTCTTTCTGAAGAGTGTACTAAGAAACCCAATTTGGAGAATGCAGTGTCTGGTATAAAACTCCTTGTAGACAGTGGTTGTGTATTTTGATTTTCATTTGAAGACTGCATGTGAAATATACTTAGACAATGCCAAGAATGTTCTCAGCCAGACATCTTTTTTGCCTTCTTCAACTTTCCCACTCCTATTTTCATTAAAAGGTCACTGAAAAGTAGGAAGTGACATTTGTCAGTCACTTTTCTGTCAACTATGACATAGGTAAAGATTCATTTTTCTCCATATTAACATAGTTGGTTCTGGCCAGGCACGGTGGCTCACGCCTGTAATCCTAGCAGTTTGGGAGGCTGAGGCGGGCAGATCACCTGAGATCAGGAGTTCAAGACCCGCCTGGCCAACATGGTAAAACCTGTCTCTACTAAAAATACAAGAAAATAGCTGGATGTGGTGGCGGGCACCTGTAATCCCAGCTACTCGGAAAGATGAGGCAGGAGAATCGCTTGAACCCAGGAGGCAGAGGTTACAGTGAGCGGAGATTGCGCCATTGCACTCCGGCCTGGGCAACAAGAGTGAAATTCCATCTCAAAAAACAAAACAAAACAAACAAACAAACAAAAACATAGTGGCTTCTTAGTAAATATTTTATGATGCTACTAATGATGAAGGCTTGGCAAGTTAAAAAATACATACTCACAAAATACCTAGAATCTTGCCTTTTAGATATTCTAATTTAGAGTCTCATATTTTCTGCTTCCAGTGTTCTTTCAAAACACGAATATATATAGTTTTTTTTTTAAGAGACAGGGTCTCGTTCTGTCACCCATATTGGTGTGCGGTGGCACAATCACAGCTTATTGCAGCCTTGAACTCCTGGGCTCAAGTGATCCTCTTACCTCAGCCTCCTGAGTAGCTGGGACTACAGTTGCATGCCACCACATCCACCTAATTTTTTAAATTTTTTTGTAGAGATGGGTTCTCCCTATATTGCCCAGGCTGGTCTTGAACTCCTGGCCTTAAGTGTTCCTCCTGACTTGGCCTCCTAAAGTGTTAGGATTACATGCGTGAGCCACGGCACCTGGCCTGTATAGTTTTCTTAATGAATCATTAATTACAGCGATACAGAATGTGAATTTTGACAGACCTGAGTTTGAATACTGGCTCTACCATTTACTATGGCCTTGAGCAAGTCAATTCACTTGTCTGGGTCTTGGATTTCTCATTAATGAAGTAGAAATAATCACAATTCCTGACTCTCAGAATAGCTGTGATAAAGAATATATGTGACGAAGAATATAAATAATTTAGGCTGGCCACAGTGGCTCAGAAGTTCAATACCAGCCTGACCAATATAGTGAAACCCTGTGTCTACTAAAAATAAAAAAATTAGCCGGGCATGGTGGCGTGCACCTGTAGTCCCAGCTACTCAGGAGGCTGAGACAGGAGAATTGCTTGAACCCAGGAGGCAGAGGTTGCAGTGAGCCAAGATCACACCACTGCACTCCAGCCAAGGCAACACAGTGAGACTCTGTCTAAAAAAAAAAAAAATTTAGTATAGTGCCTGGCACACAATAGGTAATTTTTGTACTTACTAGTCTTATTGTTTACTTTTTATTACAGATTTTGAGATCAGGAGTGAGAACGAGGTAAATCCCAAGCAAGAGATTAGTGAAGATGTACAATTTGGGACTACATCTGAAAGACCTGCTGAGAATGCTGAGGAAAATCCTGAAAGTGAAGAGGGCTTTGAAAGCGGAGATAGGTCAGAAAGACAATGGGGAGATTTAACAGCAGAAGAGTGGGTAAGCTATCCTCTCCAACCAGTCACTGATCTACTTGTCCACAAAGAAGTCCACACAGGCATCCGCTATCATATATGTTCTCATTGTGGAAAGGCCTTCAGTCAGATCTCAGACCTTAATCGACATCAGAAGACCCACACTGGAGACAGACCCTATAAATGTTATGAATGTGGAAAAGGCTTCAGTCGCAGCTCACACCTTATTCAGCATCAAAGAACACATACTGGGGAGAGGCCTTATGACTGTAACGAGTGTGGGAAAAGTTTTGGAAGAAGTTCTCACCTGATTCAGCATCAGACAATCCACACTGGAGAGAAGCCTCACAAATGTAATGAGTGTGGAAAAAGTTTCTGCCGTCTCTCTCACCTAATCCAACACCAAAGGACCCACAGTGGTGAGAAACCCTATGAGTGTGAGGAGTGTGGGAAAAGCTTCAGCCGGAGCTCTCACCTAGCTCAGCACCAGAGGACCCACACGGGTGAGAAACCTTATGAATGTAACGAATGTGGCCGAGGCTTCAGTGAGAGATCTGATCTCATCAAACACTATCGAGTCCACACAGGGGAGAGGCCCTACAAGTGTGATGAGTGTGGGAAGAATTTCAGTCAGAACTCCGACCTTGTGCGTCATCGCAGAGCCCACACGGGAGAGAAGCCATACCACTGTAACGAATGTGGGGAAAATTTCAGCCGCATCTCACACTTGGTTCAGCACCAGAGAACTCACACTGGAGAGAAGCCATATGAATGCAATGCTTGTGGGAAAAGCTTCAGCCGGAGCTCTCATCTCATCACACACCAGAAAATTCACACTGGAGAGAAGCCTTATGAGTGTAATGAGTGTTGGCGAAGCTTTGGTGAAAGGTCAGATCTAATTAAACATCAGAGAACCCACACAGGGGAGAAGCCCTACGAGTGTGTGCAGTGTGGGAAAGGTTTCACCCAGAGCTCCAACCTCATCACACATCAAAGAGTTCACACGGGAGAGAAACCTTATGAATGTACCGAATGTGAGAAGAGTTTCAGCAGGAGCTCAGCTCTTATTAAACATAAGAGAGTTCATACGGACTAAGCTGTAATTATGATGGCTGAGAAATGATTCATTTGAAGATACAATTTTATTTGATATCAATGAACGCCCTCAAGACTGAGCTGCTTTTATCATACTCTCCTAGTTGTGGGCCACGATTTAAACCATCAGAGATGACAAGCCATTTGAAATTCTGACCCTCAGCTTTGGGAATGTTATCTCCTCCAAAATGGTGATTTTTATTCACTCAATGGGTTACTTCATTAAAAGCAGCCCCACAAGTAACTGGAAATCTGAAGACCAGGGGACAAATGCTGGTGAATGCTTAGGCCTGGAAATGGAGTAAATCTTTCAATGTTATTTTCTCCCATCCTTGGCCCAAGGAACTATGCTAAGTGAAACGTGGGACTGTAATAGGGTGGTAATGGCTGCTTTGGAAAAAGGCAACTAGAGACTCTGCCTAAATTGCCACACCTATTCACACACCATAGTAGTTGGGCACACACATCTTCCCTTCCAAAGGGCTTTTTCCTTGAGTTGCTCATGCATTTGTATCTTTTCCATCTTCCTGAGGGCAAGATTTTGCACGATGAAGGCAATGATTGTAACTTTTCTCCTTCTCATTGTTTCTAATTAGCTCCTTTAAAGCTTGCATCTTTGTGAAGGCTAACTGAAGATACGGTTGGAAAGGAAAAATGAGACACAGGTTTGGGGACCAAGGACCCATCAATGATGGTGACTTTAGCAGAAGATGCCCACAGTTATTACTGCCATTAATCAGATTTATGAATTTTCTTTGGGGATCACTATAGGGAATATTGTATAGAAAATATCTTCAAGAAAAGATAGGACCATCAGTGACAGTTAAGTGTAAGGAGCAAGTGGAATTGAGTCCTTCAGGGAAGGAACCACAGAGTCCCTTCCCAAGGAATGTAGGTCGTTTCTGTGTTCTTTCCCTTCTAATCTTTAAGATCAACTCTTCCTATCCTGCTAACTCTAAGATTTGATAAGGGCCACATCCCAGTGTTTATCTTAGCTTGCATCAGGGCATGTGTATGTACAGTAATGTGTATTCCTGTGGTTTTTCTAATAGAAACTGAATTTACAGAGACTTAGCATGTTCTTGGGTGATGTGAGTCATGTGACAGAAGTACAGACATAACTCCAATGTGAGAAATGTCCTTTTTTCATTATGGAAAATAATTTAAACACTAGTGCTTTAGTGTGCACTCTCCTGTAAGGTCTGTCTTTGTACAGAGCTAAGCACTTGTTTGTATGTGTTTGTCAATTGTGGAAGATAATGACCAGACAAATAGGTCGATTGTCCTATTCTCAGAATGAATTATCTTCTATGGTAATGAAGAACTCTTTGGCTTAGTCAGAAGGAATTAACGAACCTCGGTAGGAATGTATTTCCATCCTCCCACCCTACAGATATAAGAGGTTAAAATAACAGTTCGCCCAATTTAAGCCCAGTAGTGTCAGTTTTCCTAATCTCAGTCCAGGTAGGAATTAAGAAATATCTCAAGTGTTGATGCTATCCAAGCATGTTGGGGTGGAAGGGAATTGGTGCCCAGAAAATGGGACTGGAGTGAGGAATATCTTTTCTTTTGAGAGTACCCCCAGTTTATTTCTACTGTGCTTTATTGCTACTGTTCTTTATTGTGAATGTTGTAACATTTTAAAAATGTTTTGCCATAGCTTTTTAGGACTTGGTGTTAAAGGAGCCAGTGGTCTCTCTGGGTGGGTACTATAATGAGTTATTGTGACCCACAGCTGTGTGGGACCACATCACTTGTTAATAACACAACCTTTAAAGTAACCCATCTTCCAGGGGGGTTCCTTCATGTTGCCACTCCTTTTTAAGGACAAACTCAGGCAAGGAGCATGTTTTTTTGTTATTTACAAAATCTAGCAGACTGTGGGTATCCATATTTTAATTGTCGGGTGACACATGTTCTTGGTAACTAAACTCAAATATGTCTTTTCTCATATATGTTGCTGATGGTTTTAATAAATGTCAAAGTTCTCCTGTTGCTTCTGTGAGCCACTATGGGTATCAGCTTGGGAGTGGCCATAGATGACCGCATTTCCATGACCTAACTGTATTTCACCCCCTTTTCCTTCCCTACTGTTCTTGCCCCACCCCAACCAGTTCCTGCTGCTGCTTTTGGCTTCTTGGAGGTGAAGGGCTTAAAACAAGGCTTCTAAGCACCCAGCTATCTCCATACATGAACAATCTAGCTGGGAAACTTAAGGGACAAGGGCCACACCAGCTGTCTCCTCTTTCTGCCAATTGTTGCCCGTTTGCTGTGTTGAACTTTGTATAGAACTCATGCATCAGACTCCCTTCACTAATGCTTTTTGCATGCCTTCTGCTCCCAAGTCCCTGGCTGCCTCTGCACATCCCGTGAACACTTTGTGC
Organism: Homo sapiens; assembly: GCF_000001405.40. Lineage (NCBI taxonomy): Eukaryota > Metazoa > Chordata > Mammalia > Primates > Hominidae > Homo > Homo sapiens. The sequence continues at coordinate 129,564 of NW_014040926.1, read as the reverse complement.
CTGTTTTCTATGGTTGTGGAGAATTAATGAACAAATCAATATGTAGAACAGTTTTCCTTATGGTATTGGTCACAGTTATCCTAGTGTTTGTATTATTCTAACAATATTCTATAATTAAAAATATAATTTTTAAAGTCAGCAAACCTGAGAATTATTTTAGTAACCCAGCACTGATTCATTTAATGGCTTTTCATCAGAGTCATTAAAATTGGGCATGATTGTCTTTACACTGATGCATTCCGTACAGATGTACAGATATATTACACAGATGTTCTGTAGGAATTTGGGAGTACAGTATCTTGAGCCCTTTGGTTATTGCCATATCTTGGGAAGATGAAAAAACCTGAGTAGTTTTCTACGAAGGTTATGCTGGTGACAGAAGCCACATAGGAATATTTGGTATGGGTGACTCATTAGCTTTGGGGAAGGAAAAAAAATCCAAAAAGAAAAATGAGAGAAGGCCTTGTTGCTTTAAGGAGATATTTTGGAGTATTCATTAAGAATACTAAGTCTGGGTGCGGTGGCTCACGCCTGTAATCCCAGCACTTTGGGAGGCTGATGCGGGTGGATCACCTAAGGTCTGTATTTCGAGACCAGTGTGGCCAATATAGTGAAACCCCATCTCCAGTAAAAATACAAAAATTAGCTGGGCGTGGTGGCATGCGCCTGTAATCCCCATTACTCGGGAGGCTGAGGCAGGAGAGTAGCTTGAACCTGGGAGGCAGAGGTTGCAGTGAGCCGAGATCACACCACTGTACTCCAGCCTAGGCAGCAGAGCGAGACTCTATCTCAAAAGAACAAAACAAAACAAAAATACAACTAAAACAGTTTCTACCACACTAGGATTGGGTTCCTAGAACAGATACTTCTTAGAAGCAAAGGTTCTCTATTCGTAACAGTTGTACAGTCTGCCTAAGGCTGTAATTAGGTATTACCAGGGTGTGGCCACAATTTTCAAATTACTTACAAGTAATTTTCTCTCAAATCTTTTTTTAAATGGACAGCCAGCCTTGGCAAAGGTAGGGATGGAAGTGTTTTACATTGGGGGAGAATATAAATATCAAAGAAATGTTTTTAATTTTGTAGCCAAGACTTGCAATAGGAGAAACTTTATCAAAAAAAAAACACAACACTTTTTTTTTTTTTTTTTTTTGGGACAGAGTTTTGCTCTGTCACCCAGGCTGGAATGCAGTGACATGATCACAGCTCATTGCAGCCTGGACCTCCCCAGGCCCAAGTGATCCTCCCCACCTCAGCCTCCTGAGTAGCTGGGACCACAGGTGTGTGCCACTACACCTAGCTAATTCTTTTTATTATTTTTTTAGAGATGGGGTCTCCATATTTCGCCGAGGCTGGTCTCAAACTCTGCAGCTCAAGTGCTCCGAGTCAGCCTCCTAAAATGATGGCTTGCAGGTGTGAGCCACCAGGCCTGGCCCCAGAATATTATTTAGGCTACTCTAGGCCACTCTGCCTGTGGGTGAACCCTACTCTATCTATAGAGCAGCCAAAAGTATATATACATGTAAACTCTTAGCCGGGCGTGGTAGCAAGCGCCTGTAGTCCCAACTACTTGGGAGGCTGAGGCTGAGTTCGAGGCTGCAGAGCAAGACCTCATACCTTAAAAACAAAAGCAAAAAACAAACAAAAAACTCTTCTTACTGCATGTTGAGCATTTTTCATTGCTGGGAAGGAAAGTTAAGGGAAGATGCTAATTCACCTGGAGAAGTGTAGCTCAAGAGCCTCCCTCTAAGACTATTTGATATGTTAGTATCTTGACATTGTTATTATTATTGAGCAAATTTCCTTCTGTGTGAACTGTTCTCTAAGACCCTAGAGGTAGGTTAGGACTGTGTTTCCAGGCCGTTAGGATATCACTGAGTGCACTGAAATGATAATTTGTTAAGTGGTTCCCTGGTGTTTTAGAAGTTAGTGTAGCTCCCAAAGGAGTTCCCAAGCCCTGGGAGAAACTGACTCTTTGGAAGCAGTTGTTAGATACCCACCTCTGCAGTAGAGTAGCAGATGTAGGCCCTGCTTATCAATAGGAGACTTCAAGAACTGAAAGACTGTTAAGATCGTTAGTGAAAAACAGCTGAATTAATGGGAGACAATTACCCTGTAATGACCTAAAATGGGTCCGTGGGAAATCCCATTGCATGATCTGTTTTTCTAAATGCTTCATTCCCAAAGTTTATATCATTTTCAGCTTCTCTAAAAGTGGTTTTGTTTTATTTTTTCCTTTTGGGAAAGATTGAGGCTGATGACACCAAAATCTGGCAGAGTTTCACACCAGCCCCTGCAGCTGCTTTCTGGACAGCTCTGCTTGGAAATTATCCATCAAAGCATGAACAAAATAACAAAACTAAGTTAAAAAATTATAATAGGAAATTACCCAGACATCTTGAAATCAAACCCTGAACTCAACTTGCCACATTTTCCCCTACTCCCTGCCTGCTTCTCCTGTTCCTAACTCAGTCATTGCCCACTTATCCAAGCTAGAAACTTGCACATCATACTTAACTCCCGTTCCTTTAGCCACCCTCCCCAAATCAGTAACAAATACTGTGTAACTATGTATCCAGTCATGCCCATACCACCTCCTAAATAGTTCTCAGATCCTTCTGCCTGGTTCTCTCTACTGCCACCACTTACCATGTGACTTTGGGCAATTATTTAGCTTTTCTGTTCCTTGGATTCCCCATCCGCAAATGGGAGTAATTATGTCTACCTCATAGAGTTGCAAAGATTAAATGAGATCACGGGGCTCAAATTATTAGCAGCAATTATTCAGACCATCACTGGGCCATATCTCGCTTACTGAAACGACCTCCTAATGAGTCTCCTCTTTTCTATTTTGATTCCCGTCAGTCTTTTCTCCCTTTCTGCTAGAACAATCTTTCTGAAAGGCAAATCCTTTCATGCCGCTCTTCTGTGTAAAGCCCTGTCATGCTTCCCATTGCCAGCAGCAAACAGTGAACCTCCTTTGGTGTGATTTCTGAGGAGGTCATTCATGATCTGGCCTCTGCCGCTCTCCCCAGCTCTGGTTCCCTCCTCTTTTCCTGCACTTGCTCTTTCCTGCACACTCCAAGCTGCATCTCTCTCTCCACTCTTCTGGCCAACTCCTACTCAGCCTTCAGGTCAAATACCTGACTTGCTCTAGGAAACCTTTCCCAATCCCATAAGACTGGATCAGGTGTTCCTTTTCTGTTTTTCCTGGGTTTATCCCAATCAAAGCACTTTATCCCTGTTTTGTAATTGCCTGCTTACTTTTTTGTCTCCTCCATTAAACTTTGATATCTTTGAAGAAGTCACTGTCTTGCTCACCATTGTGTCTTCAACCCCCAGCAAATGTTTGGCGTAGAATAAGCAGGCAACAATAAAATAAGGAGAATATACATAAACTTTATTCCCTTCATATTTCTGATTGTCACCACACCAAGCTACTCTTTTTTGGTAGGCAGAGTCTCACTCTGTCACCCAGGGTGGAGTGCAGTGGTGTGATCTCGGCTCACTGCAACTTCCACCTCCCAGGTTCAAGCTGATTCTTGTGCCTCAGCCTCCCGAGTAACTGGGATTACAGGTGCCTGCTGTCACGCCCAGCTGTTTCAGTATTTTTAGTAGAGACGGGGTTTCGCCATGTTGGCCAGGCTGCTCTCGAACTCCTGGCCTCAAGTGATCAGCTCACCTCGGCCTCCCAAAGTGCTGGGATTACAGGCTGTGAGCCACTGCGCCCGGCCGGTACTCATTAAAAGAACTGTAGAAATTCTGTCATTAGTGCATCTGATGAGGCCTTCTGGAAAGAGGAAGAAGGCTTCCAGAAGTAATGTGACCCATCTAAGATCCTCCAGGTAAAGCTGAGGTAAAGACTCTCACTCTGTCACCCAGGCTGGAGTGCAGTGGCACGAACACAGCTCACTGCAGCCTCAACCTTCTGGGCTAAAGGGATCCTCTTACCTCAGCCTTCCCAGTAGCTAGGACCACGGGCATGCACCACCATGCCCAGCTAATTTTGTTTTTCATTATTTGTAGGGGTGGGGTCTCCCTATGTTGCCCAGGCTGGTGTTGAACTCCTGGGCTCTAGGGATCCTCCTGCATCAGCCTCCCAAAGTGCTGGGATTGCAGGAATGAACCAATGCACTCAGCAGAGTATGCTATTAAAGGAACCAGAACATGCAAAGAGGAGGAGTCTGGGATTAGGGATAAAGATTACAAGTAAATGAAGTCACTTAACAAAAATTCATTGAGCACCGCCGGGCGTTCTGGCTCATGCCTGTAATCCCATCACTTTGGGAGGCTGAGGCAGGTGGATCACCTGAAGTCAGGAGTTCGAGACCAGCCTGGCCATCATGGTGAAACCCCATCTCTACTAAAAATACAAAAATTAGCTGGGTGCGGTGGTGGGCATCTATAATCCCAGCTACTCGGGAGGCTGAGGCCGGAGAATCGCTTGAACCTGGGGGGCGGAGGTTGCAGTGAGCCAAGATTGGGCCACTGTACTCCAGCCTGGGTGACAGGGCGAGACTCCGTCTCAAAAAAAAAAAAAAAAAAAGCCGGGCGCAGTGGCTCATGCCCGTAATCCCAGCACTTTGGGAGGCCAAGGTGGGCAAATCACGAGGTCAAGAGTTTGGGACCAGCCTGACAAACATGGTGAAACCCCGTCTCTACTAAAACTACAAAAAAATTAGCTGGGCGTGGTGGCACATGCCTGTAGTCCCAGCTACTCGGGAGGCTGAGGTGGGAGGGTCACTTGAACCCAGGAGGTGGAGACTGCAGTGAGCCGAGATTGCACCACTGCCCTCCAGCCTGGGCAACAGAGGGAGACTCCGTCTCAAAAAAATAAATACAAATAAAAATAAAAAAATAATAAAAAAAATTCATTGAGCACCAACTTATGTGCCTGGTATAAAACCGAATGAGACAAAGATTCTGCCCTTGTTGAATTTCTATTTTCTGGGGAGAGGGACAATAAACAAAGACATGTATAATGTTAGCTGGTAACAAGCATAATGAAGACAAATAAAAGAGACTGCTTTTAGAGGAAGTGGTCATGGAAAACCTCTCTAAAGAGGTGGCGTTTGAGCATATCTCTGACTAAGACATCAGGATATCTGGGGTAAGTGTTCTAACTACTCAGTTTATTGAAGAGCAAATGTGAAGATGCTGAAGCAGCAGTTGGTATGCTGGAGAAACCACCACCAGGGGGTCGCTATGAGTGGGGCTCAGTGAGGAAGGGATCACACGGTAGGAGATAAAAATCATCTTATAGTCATTTAGTTTGAGGAAACTGTTACATCCAAGCATATATTCATATGCCCAGCAGGCAGTTGGAAATATGAATCCAGAGCTCAGGACCAAACGTGGTACTATAAATAAATGGGAGGCCGGGAGCAGTGGCTCACGCCTGTAATCCCAGCACTTTGGGAGGCCGAGGCAGGCGGATCACTTGAGGTCGGGAGTTTAGACCAGTCTGACCAACATGAAGAAACCCCGTCTCTACTAAGAATACAAAATTAGCTGGGCATGGTGGCACATGCCTGTAATCCCAGCTACTCGGGAGGCTAAGGCAGGAGAATCGCTTGAACCTGGGAGGCGAAGGTTGCAGTGAACCGAGATCAGGTCATTGCACATTGCACTCCAGCCTGGGCAGCAAGAGCGAAACTTCGCTAAAAAAAAAAAAAAAATAGGGAATAGGCCGGGCACAGTGGCTCACACCGGTAATCTCAGCACTTTGGAAGGCCAAGGAGGGTGGGTTGCTCGAGCCCAGGAGTTTGAAACCACCCCAGACAACATGGTAAAACCCCATCTCTACAAAAAAAATTTTTTTGAAAAAATTGGCTGGGCATGGTGGCACACGCCTGTAATCCCAGCTACTTGAGAGGCTGAGGTGAGAGGATCACTTGAGCCTGGGAGACAGGTTGCAGTGAGCAGAGATCGTGCTATTGCACTCCAGCCTGGGTGACAAGACCCTGTATTAAAAATAAATACATACAAGGAAAAAAAAAAGAGAGATGGGAATAGCTAGTATCTGCACGGAGATGGTAGTAGTAGTGAAACCATGCAAGTGAATGAGATGACCGTGGCACAATGTGAGAACAGTTGTCAGGGATGAAGTCCTGGGAACACCAACAGATAATGATGGGCAGAGGAGAGGACCTACAAGGACGTATTACAGGGTCCGGAGAAGAACCAGGAGAGGAGAGTCACAAGCCAAGGTCATGGCACATTTTAAGATGTTCAACTGCAGCAGAGATATCTCATGAGATACAGTACTTGAAACTCATTTACAGGGGAAAACTGTTAAGTGCAAGGTGTTGTTATCATTAATGATAATTAGAGAGCACTTGCCCCCTCCTCGAATGGATTTTTTTTTTTTTTTTTTTTTTTTGAGATGGAGTGTTGCTCTGTCGCCCAGGCTGGAGTGCAGTGGCGTGAGGCGTGATCTTGGCTCACTGCAAGCTCTGCCTCCCGGGTTCTCGCCATTCTCCTGCCTCAGCCTCCCGAGTAGCTGGGACTACAGGCGCCCGCCACAACGCCCGGCTAATTTTTTGTATTTTTAGTAGAGACGGGGTTTCACCGTATTAGCCAGGATGGTCTGGATCTCCTGACCTTGTGATCCGCCCGCCTTGGCCTCCCAAAGTGCTGGGATTACAGGCGTGAGCCACCCAGCCTCTAATGGATATTTTAACTTTAGGGTAGTGAGAATTTAGTTATATCCACAATCTATTTATAACCAATTCTTATTGTTTTATTGAATTTTCAAAACATATGCAAGTTATACTGAATGCTATAATTACTCCATGACACTACACTGATATTGGGAACAGGACTCACAATCCCTGCAGAATCTGAATTGTGGAACTGTATATTCAACTTGTATATTTGAATATGAGTAATAATACTTATCTTAGATTTCTACCAGATTTTAGTGAAAACCTCACAGCAACACCTCCACCAAAGATTTGCAGCATGTGGCTCTTCTGTCTGTCTATAGGGAAGCCTGATAATAATGAGAACTCAATGGAGTTATGTACAAGTCTCCTAGAATTCAACTGATGGAATTAGGCTGCAGCTGTTGCTGTTGCCTCTTTCTCCCTTCCCCCCTCCCCCCCTTCTTTTGAAACAGGGACTCACTCTGTCATCCAGGCTGCAGTGGTACAATCAAGGCTTATTGCAGCCTTGAACTCCTGGGCTCAAGTGATCTTCCCACCTCAGCCTCCCAAAGTGCTGGGATTACAGGCATGAGTCACCACGCCCAGCCACCTGCAGACTTTTTAAAGGCTCAGGCCTGTAATCCTAGCACTTTGGGAGGCCAAGGCAGGAGGATCACTTGAGCCCAGGAGGTAAAGGCTGCAGTGAGCCATGATGGTGCCACTGCACTCCAGTCTGGGCAACAGACTAGAGTGAGAACCTGGCTTAAAAGGAAAAGGCTGCAGAGTTTACTGTCAGTGAGTGGGTGCACCAAAGTCCTGGTGAAGAGTTGCCAGGGAATTCCACTGTTGTGGAGTGAGAGAATGTTGTGACTGAGTGTTCAGCACTCTTAAATTGGATTTAACAATCCTAAGAGGACTTATTTTTATTTGCTTATTTATTTTTGAGACAGAGTTTTGCTCTATCACTGGATTACAGGTGGGATTACAGGCAGGCACCACCACTCCCAGCTAATTTTTGCATTTTTAGTAGAGACAGGGTCTCACCATGTTGGCCAGGCTGGTCTCTAACTCCTGGCCTCATGAGATCCATCTTCCTAGGCCTCTTGAAGTGTTGGGATTACAGCAGTGAGCCACTGCGCCTGGCCAAGACATGTTCTTTTCTAACAAATCTACCCAAACGGGTGTTGCTTTCCAAAGTTGAGACCTTGTGAGGCTACAATTTTATTCTTGCACTGTTCATTTCTCAGAACAAGTTTAAATTGTGTTATAAGGCCAATTTGCAAACCACACAAGGTAAATGTGAGAACTCATTATATAATATCACAGTTGGCTTTGGTCCCTAACTAGTGTTTTCTAACTTATTCATCAGATCAAACAGACGATTTTTTTTTTTTTTTTGAGACAGGGCCAATTGCAGTGGTGCAAACGCGACTTGCTGAAGCCTTGACCTCCCCAGGCTAGGTGATCCTCCCACCTCAGCCTCCCAGGTAGCTAGAGCTACAGTTGTGTGCCACCACACCCAGCTAATTTTTTGTAGTTTTTGTAGAGATGGCATTTCACTATGTTGCCCAGGCTGGTCTCAAACTCCTGCACTCAAGCGATCCACCTGCCTCAGCCTCCCAAAGTGCTGGGATTATAGATGTGAGCCACCACTCCTGGCCACCTATATGATTACTTGACTGGTCCCTTCAAGAGAAGAATCTGCCAACACTGAGACAATAATTGAAAAGTTGCTCGGTAAAGTAGCTTTGGAGTTACACAGACGACATGTGTTTGAGTCTTGGTTCAGGAGTGTGGTGTGCCTTTAAGCGAACATTTCAATCTCTGTAAGCCTATTTCCTCAAAAAAATGGGATAATATTACTGAGGTTGCAGGTTCCATATAAGGATCAGCGATAGCATATGTGGAACACTCGACACACAGTAGGAGCTCAAAAATGGTAGCAATAGTGCCACTAAAATGGAAATACACTTTCTTTTCATTTTAAAATGGCTTTGATACATTTGAGAACTAGAAGGGCATTCAATAGACCAGTTCAAGGATAATCTTCAAAAGAAAAAATGCTGTAAAAATGATGATAAAGCTGGGCATGGTGGCTCACGCCTGTAATCCCAGCACTTTGGGAGGCCAAGGAGGGCAGATCACCTGAGGTCAGGAGTTCAAGACCAGCCGGGCCAACATGGTGAAACCCCATCTCTACAAAAATACAAAAATTAGCTGGGCATGATGGTGGGTGCCTGTAATCCCAGCTACTCAGGAGGCTGAGGCAAGAGAATCGCTTGAACCTGGGAGGTGGAGGTTGTAGTGAGCCTAGATTGTGCCACTGCACTCCAGCGTAGGTGACAGAGCAAGACTCCGTCTCAAAAAAAAAAAAAAATTATTAAAAAAATAATGATAAGGCAGGCACTGCAATAAGATCTTGAGGTAAGCTAACTATAAGCCATTTGCAAGTCATCCACATGGCATTTTATTTTTGTAAAAGAAGCATCATCTTAGGAGGTATAAATGAAAGACAAACAGCTTAAGTGCTGATCAATCTTAGTTGGAACTCCACCATTTTGCAAAGTGTTTTAAAATAATAAAAATGATTCTAGTTTTTTTTGTTTCTTCGTTTTTTGTTTGTTTTGTTTTGTTTTAGGTAGAGTCTTGCTCTGTTGCCCAAGCTGGAGTGTAGTGACACAATCTCGGCTCACTGCAATCTCCACCTCCCAGGTTCAAGTGATTCTCGCGCCGCAGCCTCCCGAGTGTCTGGAACTACAGGTGTGAGCCACCATGCCCAGCTAATTTTTTGTAGAGACAAGGTTTTACCATGTTGGCTAAGCTGGTCTCGAACTCCTGACTTCAGGTGATCCACCTGACTCAGCCTCCCAAAGTGCTGGGATTACAGGTGTGAGCCATAATTTTTGTATTTTTTGTAGAAATGGGGTTTCACCATGTTGCCCACGCTGGTCTTAAACTCCTAAACTCAGGACATCTGCCCACCTCGGCCTCCCAAAGTGCTGGGATTACAGGCATAAGCCACCATGCCTGGCCCCTATAATTGTTATAAGAAGCAAAAGTATATTCATTGATATACCAGCTCAGACAACAGGTTTGGTCTGTAACAGGGAAGAGATGCAGAAGGGCCTGGCTGCACTATGTTACCTAATTTCAGAAATTATGGGTATAGCTGGAGCTTCCCTTAGCAACCCATTTTTTTTTTCTTGAGATGGAGCCTCACTCTGTTGCCCAGGCTCGAGTGCAGTGACGCGATCTCAGCTCACTGCAACCTCTACCCCCCTGCTTCAAGCAATTCCCCTGCCTCAGCCTCATGAGTAGCTGGGATTACAGGTGCATGCCACCGCACCCAGTTAATTTTTTTTTTGTATTTTTTGTATTTTTAGTAGAGACAGAGTTTCACCATGTTGGCCAGACTGGTCTCAAACTCCTGACCTCAGGCAATCTACCTGCCTCGGCCTCCCAAAGTGCTGGGATTACAGGTATGAGCCACTGCACCCAGCCCCCATTTTTTTTTAAATGTTTATACTTGTCCTACCTCTCACCTAGGATGGAGGACAGGGATTGTGTTTTATTCATTTTATATTCCCTAGGTTATTTGTTTGTTTGTTTATTTATTTATTTATTTATTTATTTATTTTTAAGACAGGATCTCATTCTGTTGCCCAGGCTGGAGTGCAGTGGTGCATTCACTTGCTCACTGCAACCTCCACCTCCCAGTCTCAAGTGATCCTCCTACCTCAGCCTCCTGGGTAGCTGGTACTACAGGCATGTGCCACCACAGCCGGCTAATTTTTGCAACTTTTGTTGAGACGGGGTTTCAGCATGTTGCCTGGGCTGGTCTTGAACACCTGAACACAAACAATCCTCCCGCCTCAGCCTCCCAAAGTGGTGGGATTACAGGCATGAGCCACCGTGCCTGGCTTTTTTTTTTTTTTTTTTTTGAGATGGAGTCTTGCTCTGTCGCCAGGCTGGAATGCAGTGGCGTGATCTTGGCTCACTGCAACCTCTGCCTCCTGGGTTCAAGCGATTCTACTGCCTCAGCCTCCTAAGTAGCTGGGACTACAGACGTGCGCCACCATGCCCAGCTAATTTTTGTATTTTCAGTAGAGATGGGGTTTCACCATACTGGCTAGAATTGTCTAGATCTCTTGACCACATGATCCACCTGCCTCGGCCTCCCAAAGTGCTGGAATTACAGGCATGAGCCACTGTGCCTGGCTTTCTCTACTCTTAACTCCATGATTTTTCTTTCTTTCTTTTTTTTTTTTGAGTTGGAGTTTCACTCTTGTTGCCCAGGCTGGAGTGCAATGGCGCGATCTCAGCTCACCACAACCTCTGACTCCCGGGTTCAAGTGATTCTCCTGCCTCAGCCTCCTGAGTAGCTGGGATTACAGGCATGCGCCACCATGCCCAGCTAATTTTTGTATTTGTAGTAGAGACCGGGTTTCTCCATGTTGGTCAGGCTGGTCTTGAACTTCCGACCTCAGGTGATCTGCCTGCCTTGGCCTCCCAAAGTGTTGGGACCACAGGCATGAGCCACCATGCTGGCCAACTCCATGATTTTTATATAGAGGCATGCAATACATATTTGTGGAATATTGAATTCATGAATATCTGTATCTATACAATAATTTTCTTTCCAAGTAAAAAAATCAAGACATATGGTCTGAAATGTGGAGTATACCTTTGATGACTACATAGCAGAACATTTGAAATATTATCCCAGAAAATACTGGGTGATAGAATCGTTTTAAATTACATATCTAGGCCAGGTGCGGTGGCTCACACCTGTAATCCCAACACTTTGGGAGGCCGAGGTGGGCGGATCATTTGAGGTCAGGAGTTTGAGACCAGCCTGGACAACATGGTGAAACCCTGCCTCTACTAAAAATACAAAAATTAGCCAGATGTCATGCATGGCAGGCATCTGTAATCCCAGCTACTTGGGAGGCTGAGGCAGGAGAATCGCTTGAATCCGGGAGGTGGAAGTTGCATTGAGCTGAGATTGCACCACTGCACTCCAGTATGGGCCACAGAGTGAGACTGTCTCAAAAAAAAAAAAATTACATATCTGACCCACGGGTTCTCATCAATGGACTTGAAGGAGTCTCTGAATGCAAGTAAGGAGTACTTAAACTTGGATGGGGAAAAAAATTACATCTTTGTTTTCTCTAACATCTAACTGAAATTTAGCATTTTTCCCCATTGTGAATGTAGACAACATATCACAGTAGAATTAGTAACAGCTTTCCCTCTGTCACCAATAGAAATCATTTTCATATCACTTTACTACTCATGGATTTCTTGAAATATCACTCTACAATTTCTGTAGTTATTAGATCTGCTCTAAGATCTTAATAGTTATTGTGTTAATAAAGAAAAAGTTCCTGCCTGGGTAACATGGTGAAACCCCGTCTCTGAAAAAAAGAAAAAAAAAAAAAACACAAAAAAACAAAAACAACAATTAGCCCAGAGCGGTGGCCAGCGCTTGTAGTTCCTACAAGCCACTGGGGAAGCTGAGGTCAGAGGATCGCTTGAGCCCTGGAGGCAGAGGTTGCCGTGAGCCCAGATTGCACCATTGCACTCCAGCCTGGGTGATAAAGTGAGCACATGTTTAAAAAAAAAAAAAAAAATTAAAAAGTAAAAGCTGGGCTGGGTGCGGTGGCTCACGCCTGTAATCCCAGCACTTTGGGAGGCTGAGGCGGACGAATCACGAGGTCAGGAGATCGAGACCATCCTGGCTAACACGGTTAAACCCCGTCTCTACTAAAAATACAAAAAATTAGCTGGGCGTGGTGGCTGGCGCCTGTAGTCCCAGCTACTCGGGAGGCTGAGGCAGAAGAATGGCGTGAACCCGGGAGGCGGAGCTTGCAGTGAGCCGAGATTGCGCCACTGCACTCCAGCCTGGGCGACACAGCGAGACTCTGTCTCAAAAAAAAATAAAAAAATAAGCTGGGCGCGGTGGCTCATGCCTGTAATCCCAGCACTTTGGGAGGCCGAGGCGGGCGGATCATGAGGTCAGGAGATCAAGACCATCCTGGCTAACACGGTGAAAACCCCGTCTCAACTAAAAAAAAAAAAAAAAAAAAATTAGCTGGGCATGATGGCAGGCTATATAGTCCCAGCTACTCGAGAGGCTGAGGCGGGAGAATGGCATGAACCCGGGAGGCGGAGCTTGCAGTGAGCCGAGTTCGCGCCACTGCACTCCAGCCTGGGCGACAGAGCGAGACTCCATCTCAAAAAAAAAAAAATAAAAATAAAATAAATAAAAAATAAAAAAGTAAAACCTTACTATATCACGAATGTGTTTTAAAATATATTTCCTAATTGTATTTCAATATAAATGGTTTCTTTCGTATTGCTCTGTATTTTGTTTCATGCATTTAAAAACTGAGAAGAGATTCATAGCTTTTACCAGACTTCCAAATGGCACAAAATAGGTTAAGAATTATGGCGCTAGAGGCAGATTTATGTGAAGCTAGTAAAATTTAAGCTTCAGGCTGGGCGCCTGTAATCTCAGCACTTTGGGAGGCCGAAGCAGAAGGATCATTTGAGGCCAGGAATTCAAGACCGGCCAAGACCGGCCTGGGCAACATAGCGAGATTCCCTCCGCACCTCCCGTGTCTCTATTAAAAAAAAAAAGTTAAGCTTCGGGGTCCTCCCTCACTTTTACAATGCCCTTCCAAGACTCTGTTCCTAAATTTGTATTCGTCATTTAATATGATTTTTCTTAAAGACTCCCAACATTTCTTTCTTTCCTTCTTCCTTTCTTTTCCTTTTCTTTCCTTTTCTTCTCTCTCTCTGTCTTTCTCTCTTTCTTTCTAGAAGGAGTTTCACTCTTGTCGCCCAGGTTGGAGTGCAATGGCGCAATCCCGGCTACTGCAACCTCCGCCTCCCGGGTTCAAGCGATACTCCTGCCTCAGCCTCTCAAGTAGCTGGAATTACATGCACGCGCCACCACGCTCGGCTAATTTGTGTATTTTTAGTAGAGACGGGGTTTCACTATGTTGGCCAGGCTGGTCTCGAACTCCTGTGCTCAAGTGATCGTCCACTTCGGCCTCCCTAAGTGCTGGAATTACAGGCGTGAGCCACCGCGCCCGGCCTAAGACTCCCAGCATTTCTGTAAATCTCACACCCCATAACACAAAACTTGGATCTACCCAGAGATTTAACTTGGTACTGGGCACATAGTAGTCGTTTTCAATATTTCTTTTTCTTTTTTTTTTTTTTTAAGACGGAGTTTCGCTGTTGTTCCCTAGGGTGGAGTGCAGTGGTGCGATATTGGCTCACTGCAACCTCCGCCTCCCGGGTTCAAGCGATTTTTCTGCCTCAGCCTCCGGAGTAGGTGGGTTTACAGGCACGTGCCACCACACCGGGCTAATTTTTGTATTTTTAGTAGAGGCAGGGTTTCACCATGTTGATCAGGCTGGTCTCGAACTTCTGACCGATACACCCGCCTCGGCCTCCCAAAGTGCTGGGATTACAGGCATGAGCTACCACGCCCCGCCCGTTTTCAATAATTAAATATAGGTTTGTAGGTTCTGAGAAATTTAATCATCCTTGAGTGCATCTGGAAATCTGCAGACCACTGCTTGACTTCCTCCACTTCCTAAGGGTGGGGCATTGGAGTTTGGGGTTGGGAAAAAAGCGCTTGCACCACAGAAGTGAGTTCGGAAGGTTTCTATGAGACGAGACAGGTTTGGACTAAGGACAGGGAACAAATCAGTAGGAATGGCAGGTGAGAAATAGGTTTAGGACTAACACGAATTATAGTGTCCTTTGGGAATTACCCCTTTCCCCTGCATGGCTCTTTTGGCTTCAGAGATGTATATAGCTGCTTTATTTTATGAATATCAAGTAGCTCCAAACCCTGTGGGGAAAAGCTCCCTGCTCTATCACTTGTGTTACACATTGCTTTTGAGTCATTTTAACGATTTCCCTCACAGTCTGCCACCAACGATGTGTGGACGGCAGCCAGGGAGGGAAAGAGGCATTTCTCCGATCGTTCCAAGGAATGATTATCTAGACAAAATCCTCAGCAAAATGACGAGCCAAATCATCCTTAAATCGTGTGCTCACTAGAGGCGAAAAGATGACCGAAAGAGGCCCGAACGCGTGGCTATGGGCGTGTCTGGGGGGAACGCCGGCCGCGGGGGTGCGAGGGAGGACTCGGGGGCTAAGGGCGGCCGGTGGCGGGACGCAAGCGCCATGGCGGAGCTGGGCCAGTGCTGACCATAGGGGGCGGGGCTCCGGAGGCGGCCACGCGGCGCGAGGCCTAGATTTTCGGCCTCGCATCGGCGGCAGACGAAGAGGGAGGAGCTTCGTCCACCCAGGACCCAGCGCCCCCAAGCCTTGCAGCCACCAAGGGCTTCCACCACAGACCCCTTTGTGTGCCTGCCCCCGCCCCGGAGGCGCCCCAGCCAGGGGCGCTGAGCACCCTCATTGGTTCAGCCGGCAGCTTCATCGATTGGCTCTCGAGTCGTCCGGCGTGGTCCGTTTTGCCTGGATACTACTGGTCGTCTGAGCTGCCTGTCAGGCCGCCTCGCCAAGCGATTGCCCCGTAGCTCGGAGTCCCTGGAAGCAGTTCCGGGAAACCCCGCGTGCTGCCGGGATCGCGTCTCAGTCCATCAGGGGGGGGAGGGGGTGGCGCGCGCGCCATTTCTAGTCGTTTTCAAAGCGCCTCGCGCTGATTCTCACGGGCCCGGCTGCCGGCCCCCGCTCTGCCCTGGTGAGTCTCGCGCCGGCCCGTGGGGGGAGGGGCCGGGAGCCCCGATGCGACCCGACTCAGCCCGGGCTCCGTGCCTGGTCCCGTTTCGTTTGCGCTCCGAGGCCCCGGGGTGGGGGTGGGGACGGGCTGGGGGCGGCTTCGGTCTAGTCCGCCCGCGCGGCTGTGGGCCTAGCCCGGCCGAAACGCTTCTCGCCCTCGCTCTTCCTCCCCCCGCCCCTTTAGCCCGCGGTCCGGCCCGCTGGGCGCTCTCCGCGCGGCCTGCTGGGGCCGGCCGTGCTTTTCCCGCCTCCGCTCGCTGCTCCATGCGGCCGGATCCCGCGAAGGGCCTGAGGCGCCCGCGGCCCTGCCGCTTCTCCCCGCCGGAGCCGCTTCGCTCCCGCCGCGGCCGGCCTAGCCCGAGAGGGATGTGCTGATGATCCGGACGGGCCTGAGGGGATGGGGGTGGGGGGCGGAAGGCGGGGTGCAGATCCCAGGGTTATCTGAGCCGGGAGAAAAGTTTTGTGTGAGCAGAAACCGAAAGGCCGATTTGTGTGGGAAGCCTCCCTCCCCTCCCACATTCTGCATGCCGCGGGCTGAGATTTGAAGGAAAAAATGACTACTAGAGGCCGTAGAACTTAGGCTCCAAGCGGCGCCTGAAATGGATAATTCTGAGACTGTCAGAGGCGCACCAAATTGGAAAGGCGATCCTTTTTCTTACACGGTAGTGGCCGTATTGCCAAATTTTTAAAAAAGCCCAGGGCTTCTTGGAAGGTTCAGTCCTTTCACACTACCTGTTTGAGATTTTTGCAGTCCTCAAGTGGCTGAATTGATGTCTCATGAGTCAGTCGTAGGATGAGAGCTCGACACTCCTAAGCCATGAGATAACCGTTAGTCTCATTTCGTTGGTTCTTTTAAAGCCCGTCTCTTAATATGAAGAATTTGCACAGAGAGGTTCAGAAAAAGTCAGGGAGGAGTTAGTGCTGACATCCCGAATCTCCCAGCAGCCCTTTTAAATCTTTAAATGTCTCCTTTTTTTTTGCAAAAATGTTTAGATCAAATGACTCCAGTCACGTTAGTATATTTGCTGCATCCAGAAATATGGTTTGGCTGTGTGGCATTGTGTTGAATGCCACATTTGAATGAGTTTCAAATGGTCTCATATGACATAAAAAGTCTTTTCAAAATGAGCATTTTGTATTTGGCTTGAAGAGAGAGGGCTTTCCTTGATCCGAAGGTTTTATTTTCTGGAATCTAATTATTTTACGGTTTTTTTGTTAAAATTTACAAACTTTTTTTGAAAATTTTAACCAATTTCAGTATCAACTTGTAGAGCCTTTGCAATGAAATGGTAGGCATAAATATTTCTGTCTTGTACTTAATACACAACTTGTCTTTTTGCTTTACACATACTTAAAAACCCCACCTTAACAGATGTTCATTGAACTTTTCTGTTAAAAATTTGCCTCTTTTCTGTGACTGATAGTATTCCTAGGTACAATGCTGTAAGGGTCTTGTGATACTGAGAACTTTTGAGTTCTGATGATCTTAAGGTAGTATGTGGGGATGGGGGAGCATGGGAAAACAGAACCTTATGTTCGCAAGGAGATTTTGTGTTTTAGGATGCATCTTTATAGAAATAGGTCGTGTTAATCAGTAAACGTATTCATCTCACACAATACAGTTTCTTGATCAAAAGTGTGACATTTCGAATGTTTCCGTTTTTGCTAGTTCATCAGAATTTGAAGCTTGTCTTGAGAAACATCCACCCAGAATTTAACCACAGTCTGCGTCTATTAAGGGCTATCGAGTCTTAATAGTGTTTTGTAATTGTGAGGAGTCATGTTTATCTCATTTTCAGAGTAATCCTTTGCATTTTCTTCTTCTTCCTACTCTCTATTACCTCCTTCCCCTCTTGGTCTTCCTCCCTCTTTCGTTAACTTCAACTAAGTATCAGTGGACTTTGAAATGAAAAGAAGTTGTTTTAAGCCAGAAAACTGCACCTGGTGCATTTGCACAATGTTCGATAAGCTGTCGGGAAGTGTGGTTATCTTATGTGTCTTAGTACTTTGTAGGAGACTTGTATTTTCTTTATAGATGACTAGGTATCTTGAGTTTCATCAAGAAAAGTAGGCTTTTTCTTGAGATCCACCTTTATGTCTTTTATTTAGTATGTGTTGCAATGTCTTGTTCTGCTGCCTATTATCTTCATCACATTGTAATTTCACCACAGACAAATGCACTTTAATTCCCTGTCTTTTGAGGCAGTACACAGACTGGCCTTGTATGGTTTATTGTTTACTCTCTCTCTTCAGGGAGTCAGTCCATTTCAGCATTACCTACAGGCTGAATGTACAAAATTATTTTTGATAGGTTAATCTGAGAAATCTGGCTGAAGTTTAGCCTAATTAGGTAACGGTTTTTGAAATATTTGGAAGAAGTTGTCCATTCTTCAGTATGTTTTTACATCTTTATTTTACTGATATGAAAATTTCAACATGTACTCTTTTTTTTTAAGAAGCAACCTAAACTATAGCTCACTTAGTATTTTATTTGGACTGAAAACAATTGTTTCGCTTTTAAACTTGGTCATTTTTTCTTTTAAATCTGTGGGAATAGCGAATTAATCTTAGAACAAAAATTAATGTCAAGTTGGTTTTTTTTTGTTTTCGTTTTGTATTGTTAGGTGGAGAAAACCCAAACCACCAGCATGTTGAACTAGAGAAAACAGGGCACTTATTTCACACCGATACTGTATTTGAAGCAGAGCCAGGAAAATTTGAAAGTCCTTAAATCTTGATTAAGTGGTCTGTGGGTGTTCATTCTGTTTTTAAAACAAAACTTTTTAAAACTGTGTAAGACCCGAGAGCTGAGGGGCTTTTTAGTAAAGGATTTTGTAGTGATTTTGATCTTTTCACCAGGACAGAACAGCTGCTTTTGTTAATCAGCAATTCTACCTTCAGTAAATTAAAGCCTTTATCTTACCCGGTGTACATGAAGTTCCTTAAAGATCTAATGCTTCCATGTACATTTTCTATGGTTTTACAGGATTATTATTGCCAATTTAGGTCAGATACATCACAGGAGGAATAAATTATTATTTTGATAGAGGTTATTAGCAGCATGTATACAAATTAGTTTAGATAAATCATGCATTGTCCTACAAACTAGTTATTTCTGGCTTAATGTAATATAGCTCCTGAATTTTTTCCAGCAGCATAATAAAATGGCTAATCAGGTGAATGGTAATGCGGTACAGTTAAAAGAAGAGGAAGAACCAATGGATACTTCCAGTGTAACTCACACAGAACACTACAAGACACTGATAGAGGCAGGCCTCCCACAGAAGGTGGCAGAAAGACTTGATGAAATATTTCAGACAGGTATAATATGCATTTCTTGTTTCTGACTGGTTATGAAAGTGAGGGCAAACCACTTTGAATTTTATAGTTTTTTAAGGTTAAATAATACTTATTGTTTCTGATCTGTAGAGCTGAATGTTTGTTACTTTCCCTTCATTGAAGGCATATTGGGTTTGACTTTGATACTCTTATTTCATTATTTTGAAGCCTTCTTAGTGTTGAATATGCAGTCTTAGTTGTTTCAGAACAGCACATCGATTTGTCTTAGATTTACCACCCATAAAAATGTATGTTTCTGCATACCAAATTTTACATTTTTTTCTTAATCAAAATCAGTCATCATTTTGCTTTTGCTTTTCTACTTTTACCTTCTTAAAGTGATTGTTAAATCAGCTTAGGTCTGATTAGGTGGCATAACAAGAGGATAGCTGTATCGTCTGAAACCATAATAAATGTCAGACTCCTTGAGAGTTTGTGGCTTGTCTAGTTTCTAATAGAAATCCACATCTCTCCGTAATTTGGAAGTGTTTGGTTGTAACAGCTGCTTCTTTTTTTTTTTTTTAATCCAGAAGTGCCATGGTTAAGTGCTTAAGCAAATTTGAACATCTTAATATAGTTGGTTGTAAGTGGTTTGAAGTTTTAAAGAGGGAGAGAAATATTTACCCTTAGGGAGCGTTGTTCATAAATGAATGTGTCCTCCTCCTTTGGGGACATAGATGGAAACTTTCTTCCTCTGTGTTGTGTGTGCCTATTCAGATTCTGAGAGAGAATTGAATTGTCTCACTCACAAATGTGTCTTAAGTACAGTAGTAGCAAATAGCTGTTTTTTTTTTTTTGTCCTTAAAAAATTTTTAAATCTGGGAAGCTTAGCATAATTTTAGACATTAAAATGACTTATAAAAATGACTCCTGGGTCATGGTCGCATTTGAAAATCAGTCCTCAGGAACTTTCTGTGACATTCTGCCATAGAGAATTGGCAGTGATCTGCTTAGAGATGCTCTCTTGTAGAGTGTTTTGTTATTGATAAGAGGCTGATGGTTTGGGCGTAGACTTGGTTTGACAAAATGGATTGATGGGTGTCCTGAGTTGTGGCTTCGGGTGGTGGTATGGAATATTCAAGTGAGGCAGCTCCAGTTATTTACACATGCTCATTTCGAGCTTTTGAAACAAATCATGGCAACTTTTTTAAAAAGTAACTTTGGAAGTGGCATTACATTTATTTAAAATTTACTATATGGAATAAAGTTCTTTTTAGCTTTATCAAAATGGAGTCACTTTTCATGTTCATATGAACTTGGGGGTTTTAATCTACGAAATACTTGCATTTTACGTTGGATCAATTCTGAAATATATTCCATATGTAAATATGACACAAACTTAACAGACTTAAGAAATTATATTTTAAACTTAGTAGATGTTCTGTGTGCAGTTGAATATACTTACATATATGAAATGCAGTGTATATATTTTCTGTCAAGTTTACTTGTAAGACCATAAAGTCTTTATTGCCATTTGAAAATGATTGTCGTTCTTGACAGTCAATGTGAATGCCACAGCATCTTTTAAATCTCAGCTTGTCACTTCAGAAGAACAAAGAATGCCTTAAAGTATGACTTTCAGAATTGATTAATCAAGCTGCACTTGCATTTGTAGAAGTTTAAAATTATGCCTTTCCACATTCTGACTGCAGCAAAGTGGATGCTCAGATAAACAAATGCATTTCAGTTTATCTTTGGTGTTCAGGAGGGAAAGCCTTTTGACACTTTTTGGAGAGTGGAAAGAATTACTTAGTAAAATTTGTTTTCAGATTTTCCTCCACCTCTTAGGTGGTTAGCATCAACTGTAACCGTCTGTAATTTGAAGGTTTATCCTTGGAAAACGCAATGTATTCTTATCACTCTAATATAAACCAAAATTTGTTGTATTAATGCATAATCTGTAATACAGTATGTACATCAGATTTAACTTTCAAGACTTATACCTTTGGGGGAGTGGGAAATGGATGTTAGGATTTGGCGGGGGAGGTTTGTGGATATGGAGATTGAAATTCATGTTTTTGGTTGTTGACATTTTATCTTTATTTTCATATTTGTCCTGGACCTTTCTATGTAGTATTTGGATAGCTGCGTATATGCATATAGTTAAATGAAAATACAGTTTGTTAGTGATCATATTGAATGTAACAATTCTTGATTAAACGTCAGTAGAGCTTAGATTACCCCTTTTGTTGCAATAACGTTACCCCTTTCAATTTAATTTTTAGGATTGGTAGCTTATGTCGATCTTGATGAAAGAGCAATTGATGCTCTCAGGGAATTTAATGAAGAAGGAGCTCTGTCTGTACTACAGCAGTTCAAGGAAAGTGACTTATCACATGTTCAGGTAAGGTCGTTACTCAGAAATGTCTTTGAACAATTAGTAATCTGAAATTATTTTACTATTACTTTTTTTCCTATGGAGAAGTGGTATTTTTTGTTTGTGACTACCTCTTCTTTTAAAAAATTAGTTTAAAGGAAAAAAACTGCTTGTGGCAGAGTTTCAGAAGCCCAAGTATAAAGCAAAAGTTTTCTCCCACCCCCTTGTGCAGTAAGTTATTTTAAAAACTTAAAATTAAAGCCAAGTTTTGATGGTTGTTACTATAGGTTTTTACATGTTACTCAGCTTTTTAACATTTGGGGGTTATTTGATCCTGTTTTATTATCTTGGAGGAAAATGTAGGTGGGAGGAATAGTTTCCGACATCTGGCAAAGACAGTCTAGATACAGTCACATATCAACAAGTGGAAGACTGTGTTTTCCCAGGGTAGAAGGTAAGCTCCCTGAGGTCTATACTGCCTTACTGCTGTCTGCTCCAATCTCTGGCACATAGTAACCACTCGGCAAATACTTGTTGAATGAATCAGTAAATCTTTTGTTAAAATCCTGGTTTTCTGAAATTTAAATTTAATTATGTATCTGACCCTTCAGATATTTTTGGTGATTCTTTTTATTGAATTACTTGTCTGTTCTAGAACAAAAGTGCATTTTTATGTGGAGTTATGAAGACCTACAGGCAGAGAGAGAAACAGGGGAGCAAGGTGCAAGAGTCCACAAAGGGACCTGATGAAGCGAAGATCAAGGTAAAACTTGACTTGGGTAGTTGTAATGAAATTGCATTTAATGATGAGGTCAAATGCCTCTTTCCATGTTTCCTAGAAAGTTTCACTTTTTTTTTTTTTGAGACGGAGTCTTGCTCTGTCGCCCAGGCTGGAGTAGCGGCGCAGTCTTGGATCACTGCAAGCTCCACCTCCCAAGTTCATGCCATTCTCCTGCCTCAGCCTCCCAAGTAGCTGGGATTACAGCCATGCACCACCACACCCAGCTAATTATTTGTATTTTTAGGAAAGATAGGGTTTCACTGTGTTGGCCAGATTGGTCTCGATCTCCTGACCTTGTGATCCGCCCACCTCGGCCTTCAAAGTGCTGGGATTACAGACGTGAGCCACCACGCCCAGCTGAAAGTTTCACTTTTCAAAACTAGTGTTTAGAAATGAAATAATTTAGAGGAATTACATAAGAAGGATAATTTTGGGGATCGACACTCAATTGCATGTTTAATGAAAAGCCCTAATTCATACTCTTCCTCATTCCCTCTTTTGTGGCCATGAATGACGTATATTTATTGATGCTTCGCTGGTAGTTTCTTGGATTGATCCAGTAATGTCTCTTGGTTCAGTTATTTTCCAGCCACTTTGTTTCTTTTCTCTTGATAAAAAGGTTATAACTTGATAAAAAGTTGTTATAACTGCTTTCCTCCTTTTGAATATTCAGTTACCTCAGTTTCTTTATTTATAAAATGGGGATAGTAATAGTGACTACCTTACAGAGTTATTGTAAGGAGTAAATGAATTAACATATATAAAGCACTTAGAATAATGCCTGGAATGTAGCAAGAACTATATAACCATGAACCATTATTATTATTACCATTTTATTACTTAGATAAACAGCTTTGAAAAGGTAAATATACAGCTTTTAATGAAAGACCAGTGAACCTAATTCCTTAGTTAAATGGATACTCGTGTCTTGCTGTAGTGACATACTTTTCTTTTTTTTTTTTTTTTTTGAGACAGAGTCTCACTCTGTGGCCCAGGCTGGAGTGCTGGAGTGCAGTAGCGCCATCTCAGCTCATCTCAGCTCACTTCAACCTCTGTCTCCTGGGTTCAAGCGATTCTCCTGCCTCAGCCTCCTGAGTAGCTGGGACTACAGGCGTGCGCCACCACATCCAGCTAATTTTTTTTTTTTTTTTTTTTTTTTTTTTTGAGACGGAGTCTCCCTCTGTCGCCCAGGCTGGAGTGCAGTGGCGCGATCTCAGCTCATTGCAAGGTCTGCCTCCTGGGTTCACGCCATTCTCCTGCCTCAGCCTCCTGAGCAGCTGGGACCACAGGTGCCTGCTACCATGCCCGGCTAATTTTTTTTTTCTTGTATTTTTAGTAGAGACAGGGTTTCACTATGTTAGCCAGGATGGTCTCAATCTCCTGACCTCATGATCCGCCCGCCTCGGCCTCCCAAAGTGCTGGGATTACAGGCGTGAGCCACCGTGCCTGGCTGCTAATTTTTTTTGTTTTTTGGTAGAGTCGGGGTTTCACTGTGTTAGCCAGGCTGGTCTCAAACTCCTGACCTTGGGGGATCTGCCTACCTCACCCTCCCCAAAGTGCTGGGATTACAGGTGTGAGCCACCATATCCGGCCTGTGATAGACTTTTTTTTTTTTTTTTGAGACGGAGTCTCGCTCTGTCGCCCAGGCTGGAGTGCAGTGGCGGGATCTCGGCTCACTGCAAGCTCCGCCTCCCGGGTTCACGCCATTCTCCTCCCTCAGCCTCCCGAGTAGCTGGGACTACAGGCGCCCGCCACTACGCCCGGCTAATTTTTTGTATTTTTAGTAGAGACGGGGTTTCACCATTTTAGCCGGGATGGTCTCGATCTCCTGACCTCGTGATCCGCCCGCCTCAGCCTCCCAAAGTGCTGGGATTACAGGCGTGAGCCACCGCGCCCGGCTGTGATAGACTTTTTAATTAGAAATAGTTATTGTATGTTGAAGTTATTTCTATTATTATTACATTGTAATATGTAATGAAATAATTATACAACTCACCATAATGTAGAATCAGTGGGATCCCTGAGCTTGTTTTCCTGCAACTAGATGGTGCCATCTGGGCATACTGGTAGATGGTGACAGATCTTCAAGCATTAGATTCTCATAAGGAGCATGCAACCTAGATCCCTTGTATGCACACTTCACAATAGGATTCACCCTCCTGTGAGAACCTAATGCGGCTGCTGATCTGACAGGAGGTGGAGCTCACAGCTCAGGCAGTAATGCCAATGATAGGGAGGATGAGGAGCGGCTGTAAATACAGATGAAGCTTTGTTCTCACTTGCCCGCTATTTACCTCCTGCTATGCAGCCCGGTTCCTAACAGGCCATGGACCAGTACGGGTCTGTGGCCCAGGGGTGTGGGGACCCCTGTTTTATATTACATTTATGGCTCTGTTTCAGTCAAAGGTAGAAGAATGGAAGGCCGAAGGCATGCATCCCTGTGAAATCCTAGTGTTCACTGAACTTGATGATATCTAAAGTCTCTTATTGTTCTGACATTGTGTAATTTTAAAAACCTGGCTGGGCTCTGTGGCTCACGCCTGTAATCCCAGCACTTTGGGAGGCTGAGGCGGGTGGATCACGAGGTCAGGAGATCGAGACCATCCTGGCTAACAACGGTGAGGCCACCTGTCTACTAAAAATACAAAAAATTAGCCGGGTGTGGTGGCAGGCGCCTGTAGTCCCAGCTACTTGGGAGGCTGAGGCAGGAGAATGGCGTGAACCCGGGAGGCGGAGCTTGCAGTGAGCCAAGATCGCGCCACTGCACTCCAGCCTGAGCGACAGAGCGAGACTCCGTCTCAAAAAAAAAAAACCAAAAAAACTGAAGTGTAAATTTCTCTTTTCTAGGTAGATTGTGTTTCTTTGTTTACCATTGTATCTTTTCTTCTCTAAGCTCTTTATATAGATGTTGCCTCAATTATAACATAAATTCCTGAGAGCAAGGAGATTATCTTCTTTTCTATGATTGCTCTTAATACCTAATAGAATGTAAGGAAGGTTGGTAATCAGGAAACACAAGATTTTACTTATTTTTCGGAACCTGACTATACTTATTTGGTAATTGCCAAATATTTTTAGTCTGTACTGTATGATTCTTGTCTGATTACCTGATTCTTGTGGAGCTTATGATATGGCAGGAGTACAAACCAGAAGGATCAAACAAAATCAAGCTTAAATGATGGAACTTTAAGTACACTAGAGGCTGGGTATGGTGGCTCATTCCTGTAATCCCAGCACTTTGGGAGGCCAAGTCGGGTGGATCACGAGATCAGGAGATTGAGACCATCCTGGCTAACACGGTGAAACCCTGTCTTTACTAAAAATACAAAAAATTAGCCGGGCGTTGTGGCGGGTGCCTGTAGTCCCAGCTGCTCGGGAGGCTGAGGCAGGAAAAGGGCGTGAACCTGGGAGGCGGAGCTTGCAGTGAGCCGAGATCGCGCTACTGCACTCCAGCCTGGGTGACACAGCGAGACTCCGTCTCAAAAAAAAAAAAAAAAAAAAGTACACTAGAAAGACAGTGGGGGCTGGGCACAGTGGCTCACACCTGTACTCCTAGCACTTTGGGAGGCCAAGACAGGCGGATCTCATGAGGCCAGGAGTTCCTGACCAGCCTGGCCAACATGGTGAAACCCCATCTCTACTAAAAATACAAAAATTAGCTGGGCGTGGTGGCACATGCCTGTAATCCCAGCTACTTGGGAGGCTGAGACAAGAGAATCTCTTAGACCCGGGAGGCAGAGGTTGCAGTGAGCCGAGACGATGCCACTGCACTCCAGCCTGGGCAACAGAGCAAGACTCCATCTCAAAAAAAAAGAAGAAAAGACAGTAGGGAGAAATGGATGTGAGTAATAGTAAATGAGAGAAGCTGCATGAAGGAGGTAAGACTTGTGCTAATTTTTTTAAGGATAGAGAACATTTTATTTGAAAAGACTCACCAGTAGAAACATGTATGGGGAACCAGTGCGAATTTTGACTTTTTTTTTTACCTAACCATAAAAATATATCTCCTAGGAAGTTGGAGTCCTTTTTGGAAAAGATTAATACACTGATGCTTGTGTGTGAGATTTAGTACTCAAGTATAAAGAGATGTATAATTATCTCTAGGCCTTGCTTGAGAGAACTGGTTATACTCTGGATGTAACCACAGGACAGAGGAAGTATGGTGGTCCTCCACCAGACAGTGTGTACTCTGGCGTGCAACCTGGAATTGGAACGGAGGTAAGTGTTCTTTAGCAGTTTACCAAGATCTTTCCAGTTTGGAAAGTGTTTTATCTACTATGCAGATACTGTACAGACGGGGGAAAATTCTTGATCCCTTTCAAAGTGTAGCTGTTGTTAGTTTTTAGATATCCATTTGTATTTTGCTGCCATCATGAGGATGGATAATCTTGTGACTGGTAGATACCCGAACACTTTATATAGGAATATAATATAGAGTTTTTGGAACAGGTTGCTAAAACCATGCTACTAGCAGCACACCATTTTAGATACTTGGAGTAAAGTTATTTGGAAGACGCAATTGCTTTATTCTGTCTTTTTTTTTCCCCTCCCCTGAGATGGAGTTTCGCTCTTGTTGTCCAGGCTGGAGTGCAGTGACACGGTCTCAGCAAACTGCAACCTCGGCCTCCTGGGTTCAAGTGATTCTCCTGCCTCAGCCTCCTGAGTAGCTGGGATTACAGGTGCGTGCCACCACACCTGGCTAATTTTGTATTTTAGTGGAGACGGGGTTTCACCATGTTGGTCAGGCTGGTCTCGAACTCCTGACCTCAAGTTATCCACCCACCTTGGTCTCCCAAAGTGCTGGGATTACAGGCGTTAGCCTCCACACCCGGCTGCTTTTTTTGGTTTTTGCTTTTTGGGGATTGTTTTTGTTTCTGTAGAGACCAGGTCTCACTGTGTTGCCCAGGCTGGTCTTGAACTGCTGGCCTTGGCTTCCCAAAGTGCTGGGATTACAGGCATGAGCCACAGTGCCCAACCAAGTTTTTTTGTTTTTGTTTTGTTTTTTTTTTGGTTTGGTTTTGTTTTTTTTTTTTTGAGATGGAATTTTTGCTCTTGTTGCCTAGGCTGGAGTGCAATGGTGCAATCTCGGCTCACTGCAACCTCCACCTCCTAAGTTCAAGCGATTCTCCTGCCTCAGCCTCCCAAGTAACTGGGATTACTGGCATGCACCACCACACCTGGCTAATTTTTTGTATTTACTAAAGAGGATTTCACCATGTTGGTCAGGCTGGTCTTGAACTCATGACCTCAGGTGATCCACCTGCCTTGACTTCCCAAAGTGCTGGGATTACAGGCGTGAGCCACCGCGCCTGGCCAAGTTTTTTTTTTTTTAATATCAATAATTTAGAACTGTGCTTGTCCTCTCCCTTGCCTCACCTATCACTCAGAAGGGACTTAGTATTTATGGAGAGATATTATTGATGGGCGTGGATTGCACAAGGGAAGGATGTGGAATCAGATAAAAGATTGAGTATGTTAGTCCATACTTGAACAAAGAAGCAATTCTTTCCCCATCTGTCTTCTTAAAGCTTTTTCCATTTGCCTTATTGCTAGCCTGTTCTATTCCTTCCTTCTCTTCTCCTCCCCTCTCCCCTCTCCCCTCTCTCCATTCAGTCTCGCTCTGTCGCCCAGGCTGGAGTGCAGTGGTGGGATCTCAGCCCACTGCAACCTCTGCCTCGCAGGTTCAAGCGATTCTCCTGCCTTAACCTCCCGAGTAGCTGGGACTACAGATGCCTGCCACCACGCCTGGCTAATTTTTCTATTTGTAGTGGAGACGGGGTTGCGCCAAGTTGGCCAGGCGGGTCATGAACTCCTGCTCATCCTTCAAATGGAGAAAACTGTGTGCTGAAAAGTAACCTGTTACACCAGGGACCTTTTTTTTTTTTTTTTTTTTTTTTTTTTAAAGAAACAGTCTCACTGTCACCCAGACTGGAGTTTAGTGGTGTGATCATAGCACACTGCAGCCTCAGACTCCTCCTGGCTCAAGCAGCCCTCCTGCCTCAGCCTCCCCAGTAGCTGGGACTATGGACTCATGCCACCAAACCCAGCTATTTTGTGTTTTGCTCTTGTTGCCCAGGCTGGAGTGTAATGGTGCAATTTCGTCTCACTGCAACCTCTGCCTCCCGGGTTCAAGCGATTCTCCTACCTCAGCCTCAGTAGCTGGGATTACAGGCATCCGCCGCCACACCTGGCTAATTTTGTAGTTTTGGTATTTTTAGTAGAGGAGGGGTTTCTCCATGTTGGTCAGGCTGGTCTCGAACTCCTGACATCAGGTGATCTGCCTGCCTCGGCCTCCCAAAGTGAAGCCCAGCTATTTTTTTTTTTTTTTTTAATTTTTTGTGGAGATGGAGTCTCCCTGTGTTGCCCAACTGGTCTCCAACTCATGGGCTGAAGTGATCTTCCCACTTTGGTCTCCCAAAATGCTGGGATTACAGGCGTGAGTCACCATGTCTGGCCTAATAAACTCGGAGATAACCAATTCGAAACAAATAGTTGATATGTTAATTGTAAAACACATACGCATTCTCTTAGATTGCATTGTTCCTTTAGGAGAAAGATGCATTCTTCTGTATGTTAAATGTTGTTGTATACAGCAAATATGATTCCAGCAAAATCCCTATATGTGATCACTAGCCTAAAACCACTCCTGTCAAGCAATCACTTTCAGCAAAGTCCTAATGGAAAGTTTCAGATTTCTCTCATAAAGTTAAAGTTCATGAGATTGTGCAAGTACTTGTTGACAAAGTTTTGAAAACTCAGGAAAAGTAGGTTTTTAATGTGTTGCTAGTAGATATAATAAATTGGTTTTAATTGTGATTTTTGATGTTGTGAGGTTTGGATTTTGTTCTTTTATATGTTCTTTCAGTCATCATTAAACATTTTTAGGTCTTGATTGAGGAGGTTGAAGTTAGAGTCAGTGCCTGAGACTGTGCAGTATTAAAATTATGAGAGGACTATGATATCTCATTTTTGGGTAAAATCTGTAAATTAACCCATTAGATGAGCACTCATTAACAGACATTGTTGCTAAGTATTGTTCTGAGATGAGAAATATGCAAGGATGATAGGTAGTAATTTTGAAATATATTTTTTAGTGTGTCTGAGCTCTCAGACCTACTCTAGTTGTAGTATTTTTGTATTCTTCAGCTAGTATTGTTAAGCTGCTTTGGGAAGCAAGTTCTGTTTTTGTTTTTGTTTTTTTGAGATGGAGTCTCACTCTGTCGCCCAGGCTGGAGTGTAATGGCACGATCTCGGCTCACTGCAACCTCCGCCTCCCAGGTTCAAGCGATCCTCCTGCCTGAGCCTCCCAAGTAGCTGGGACTGCAAGCATGCACCACCATGCTCAGCTAATTTTTGTATTTTTAGGAGAGACGGGGTTTCACCATGTTGGCCAGGCTGGTCTCAAACTCTTGACCTCATGATCCACCCGCCTCGGCCTCCCAAAGTGCTGGGATTACAGGAGTGAGCAACCTCGCCTGGCCAAGTTCTGTTTGTACTCGTTTCCATTAATGTAAGCAGTATTCTTGGAGGTCATGACTGTGTATAATAAATTCTTATCTGTTTGCAGAGCCTACCACTGATGTTTTGCAGAGTAATGAAAAGAAATGGTAGATTGAGATCTCATTCTTTGGTTTATTCATGGTGGTGTCACAGAACCCCAGTGTATTTAACAGAGCCCTAAAGTATATGACTTTGTGGCACCTGAATTGTATTATGTATGAGAAACTGATATATTTGCAAGATAGCAAATGTAAATAGGAGCTAGATAATATAAGAATCCTAATAGATACCCAAAAGACTCTGTTGGCTGGGTGTGGTGGCTCATGCTTGTAATCCTAGCATTTCAGGAGGCTGAGGCAGGAGAATCATTTGAACCCAGGTGTTTGAGACCAACCTGGCTAACATAAGGAGACCCTGTCTCTATAAAAAATAAAAAATTAGCCAGGCATGGTGGCATGCGCACAGCTATGGCCCTAGCTACTTGGGAGGCTGAGGTGGAAAGATCAGTTGAGTCTGGAGGTCACTACAGTGAGCTGTTATTGTGCCACTGTATTCCAGCCTGGGTGACGGAGCAAGTACCTTGTCTCAAAAAAAGAAAAGACTGTTGAATGACTTGGTTACTTCCTTTATTACTGTTGAAGTACTTGATGGATAAATTGTAGACAGCTAAAACTTTTTCTGGGTCTTCATGGCCAGTGAGTGAAGAAAGAAATGTTACTGTGGTATTCAGTAGATTCTGTTGGTTCTGAAAAGGGAGGAGGGTTACCTGAAGATGACTGAGTGCTTGCTCTGAAAGGGCTCACATGGATCCAGAATGACTCAGAGACTAAAAAGTTAATAAAAGGAAAGTATTCCTATTTCATTTTAGTTAATTAAAAATTGAGCTTAAAAACTTTAAAAGGAACAGTGCTGAATTAGTTTTTGAAAACTTTAGCCTTTTAAATTCTTTTTAGGTCCTAAGTTAAATTGATCTTGAAATGAAGATATTTCCTGTTTCTTAGATAAACCAGTGTTTTCGATTCGTGGTCTGTTTCTTCATGGACTCACGTGACTATAGTATTGGGGACTTTATTGGCCACAGATTTGTTGATGTTTCTTCTATATTTATTTATTTATAAAAACAAGATCTCACTCTTGCCCAGGCTGGAGTACAGTGGCACAATCGTAGCTCACTGCAACCTCAAACTCCTGGGTTTAGGGGAACCTCCTGCCTTAGCTTCCCAAGTAACTGGGATTACAGGTACATGGCACCACACTGAGCCAATTTTTTAAATTTTTTTATAGAGGCAGGGTCTCGCTTTGTTGCTCAGCCTGGTCTCAAACTCCTGGGCTCAAGCAATCCTCCTGCCTTGGCCTCCTCGAGAGTTGGGTTTACAAGTGTGAGTCACCATGCCCAACCCACACTAGGAAGTTGAGACTCATTGCTTAAGAAACTTGGCCGGGTGCGGTGGCTCACGCCTGTAATCCCAAAACTTTGGAAGGCTGAGGCTGGCAGATCACTTGAGGTCAGGAGTTCGAGACCAGCCTGGCCAACATGTTGAAACCCCATCTCTCCTAAAAATACAAAAATTAGTCAGGCGTGGTGGCACATGCCTGTAGTCCCAGCTACTCAGGAAGCCAACACAGGAGAATTGCTTGAATCTGGGAGGTGGAGGTTGCAGTAAGCCGAGATGGCGCCACTGCACTCCGGCCTGGGCGACAGAGCAAGACTCCATCTCAAAAACAGCAACAACAACAACAACAAAAAACGAAACTTGCTCAAGGTAACTAAAATGTAGATTTGAATCCAGTATAACCGAAAACTCACTGTTGCTCACATTCTTACCACCTTCATAGCTATCACCCTACTATACCAAGCCACTTTTCATCTCTTTCCCAGATTGCCCTGTTCACCTGACCAGTCAGCCTATTTCTCCATACAATCCATTTTCTACCCAATCGCTGAAATGTACCTTTTAGAACATAAGTCATACCCAGTCATTTTTCTGCTCTAAACTCTCTGATGGCTTCCCAACACATCTGGGAGCAGAAATGCCTAACCATGGTTTAACTTACTCTGGCCCCGTTCTCTGTTTTCCCACCACTGTCACTTTCATTCTAGCCATTGGCCTGTGTGCTGTTCTTCAGATATGTTGAGTGTACTCCCATCTCACATCTCATGGCCTTTTGTACCTGTTCCATCAACTTGGAATGCTCTTTCTTCAGACTTCTTTTTTCTTTTCTTTTTTTTTTTTTTTTTTGAGACAGAGTCTTGCTGTGTTTCTCAGGCTGGTCTAGAACTCCTGGCTGGCCTCAAGTGATACTTCTGCCTTGGCCTCCCAAAATGCTGGGATTATAGGCATGAGACACTGCCCCCTCACCTTCCTCAGGTTTTTACTTAATTTTCTCTTAGATCTCAGCTCAAATTTACCCCTGTAGGGAAGCCCTCCTAGTGAAAACTCAGCCCCATCATTTAGCCCCTTTTTCTGTTTTTTCCTTCTTCTTAACATTTAATACCTCTTAAAATCATATAATCACTATTTATTTATTTATTTATTTATTTATTTAAGACAGAGTCTCACTCTGTTGCATAGGCTGGAGTGCAGTGGCGTGATCTCCGCTCACTGCAACCTCCACCTTCCTGGTTCAAGTGATTCTTCTGCCTAAGCCTCCAGAGTAGCTGGGATTACAGGCTTGTGCCACCATGCCTGACTAATTTTTTGTATTTTTAGTTACAGACAGGGTTTCACCATATTGGCCAGGCTGGTCTCAAACTCCTGACTTAAAGTGATCTGCCCACCTTGGCCTCCCAAAGTGCTAGGATTGCACACATGAGCCACTGCGCATGACCCATATTGTTTACTTTTGTCTGTCTCTCTCAGTAGAATATAAACTTCATGAATGCCTAGACCTTGTCTGTGGTAGTCACTATATTTCTAGAATCTAGAAAAATATATGGCACATGAGTCCAAGGTATATCTAATTACTTGTCTCTTGAAAGATTTGTATTATACAAGTTCTGAGTAGGGTGGGAGCCATGTGTTTGTATAGGCTAGGCATTTACGTGGAGCAACTTCAAGCAGATACTTTAAAGATTAATTGGATATGGGTGGTAATGGGAGGAATTGAAAACATCTGAGATGTCTGTTTATGGAAGTAGTTCCTCAGTCACCTGGAGGTGGGGGCTAGGAGGGGAGAGAAACAGAAATTATATTCTTCTAAAGGTAGACGGGGGCAATCAGAGGAGCCAGTTGACAAGGCTGGGTTTTAATCATTTTGATTTTTAGAAAAAATCATTTGTTACAAACATGTCTTCATCATAGATTTCAAGGTATAAAGATGAGATTGGTATTCTGAATACTTCAGGTAAGAAAAGGTTTTGACGGTGGTAGTTGCATCACCAGTGTTAATACTTGTAGAGAAGGCAAGGATGATGAGAACTGAGGGGGAAAAATACTTTTATTTTTCTTCCTGAGACAGTTTCACTCTTGTCACCCAGGCTGGGGTGCAATGGCGCGATCTCAGCTCGCTGCAACCTCCGCCTCTCAGGTTCAAGCAATTATCCTGCCTCAGCCTCCCGAGTGGCTGGAATTACAGGTGCCTGCCACCATGCCTGGCCAATTTTTGTATTTTTAGTAGAGATGGGGTTTCACCATGTTGGCCAGGCTGGTCTTGAACTCCTGACCTCAAGTATTCCGCCCGTCTCAGCCTCCCAAAGTGCTGGGATTACAGGCATAAGTCACTGTGCCCGGCCTGGAAAAAGACTTGAATTTGGTTATTAGAAGTTTATTAGTGACATCTGGGTATACAGCTCGAGTTAGAGGAAGAAGCCAATTATAGAGGGTTAAAGAGAACATAGATGCTGTGTGCTTTTCTCAGTATGTTTTTGTTACAAAGATTGTTCTGCAGGGACATCACTTAAATCACATATAACAGTATCTTGTATCCCTAGTTGTGATGATGCCATAGATGTCTTGTTTCTACTTCTCTTTGGCTTCACGGTATTAAGCATGTAGTAGATGTGTTGAAAATAATAACTGTGTGAGTAAAAAAAAAAACGTACGGATGGCGTGTTCAAAACAGGCCGGGCGCAGTGGCTCACACCTGTAATCCCAGTACTTTGGAGGGCCAAGAAAGGAACAGGAAGATCACTTGAGTCCAGGAGTTTGAGACCACCCTGAGCATCATAGTGAGAGCCTCTCTCTTCCCCCAACCGCCACCCCCAGATATTAGCTGGGCATAGTGGCAAGAGCCTCTGGTCCCAGCTACTTGAGAGGCTGAGGTGGGAGGATTACTTGAGTCTGGGAGTGTGAGGATATAGTGAGCCATGATCATGCCACTGCGCTGCAGCCTGGGCGACAAGGTGAGACCCTGTCTCAAAAACAAACCAAACATTTATCAGTGAAAGGAAATAAATATAATACAATCTAAAGTAAGGGGTGTTTTGTTGTGTTTTGTTTTTGGATTGTTTGGAGACAGGAAGGAGCCAGTGGGAAGGGAAGGATGGTACTGAGCAAAATATGAGAGTTGAAGGAATAACGATTTGCAGTTATTTCCAGAAAGTGGTAAGAAGAAATGGGCTTATTTATTGTGGCTAAGGAGTTAACCTTAGAAAGGAGGTAGATCTCTTTCTCTGAGGTGCGATAGAAGTGAAAGTAGACATTGTGAGAGGTAAGAATATGAAGAAACCAATGACTTTCTCAGGTGATATCCTTAGAATGAGGTTTAGTGAATGAGGATTGGGGACCTTAAGGAGGTAGAAGAATTGCAATAACTATTGTGTGAGAATCATGCCAAGGAGTCAAAAGAATACCTCAAGTTTTACCAGATAGCAGTGAAAGTGAGTCTTGATTATTTTGGAAAGGATTATCTCTAGATAGTACATCTGTTGTAGAGCTTAACTTCAGAAACTTAATGTCCATAATAATGTCGGCATATTTTGGATTGGATTGCTATTATTACTTCTATATTTACCTATTATTCCAGCTATTTTTCAGACTGTGAAATGGTGATGTAGATGAGTTTCACTAGAAAATTTGTCATGCAAATACTAATTTTACTCATTCAGACTTTGTGGATTACAAATGTTTTAATATAAAATTTTTTGTTTTTTTTTTGAGATGGAGTCTCCCTCTGTTGCCCAGGCTGGAGTGTAGTGGCGCGATCTCGGCTCCCTGCAAGCTCCGCCTCCCGGGTTCATGCCATTCTCCTGCCTCAGCCTCCTGAGTAGCTGGGGCTACAGGCGCCGGCCACCACGCCCGGCTAATTTTTTGTATTTTTAGTAGAGACAGGGTTTCACCATGTTAGCCAGGATGGTCTCGGTCTCCTGACTTCGTGATCCGCCCGCCTCAGCCTCCCAAAGTGC
Organism: Homo sapiens; assembly: GCF_000001405.40. Lineage (NCBI taxonomy): Eukaryota > Metazoa > Chordata > Mammalia > Primates > Hominidae > Homo > Homo sapiens. Next base: position 94,870 of record NW_014040926.1, on the reverse strand, counting down.
TGGGATTACAGGCGTGAGCCACCGCGCCCGGCCAACATAAAACATTTTTAATGTTGCTTACATTGGAAAAACTTGAAGAAAATTGTAATCTGGTATCAAATGAGGGTTTTTGACTGTATAATTTTTAATTTATCATTGTATATTATAATTTAATCGTATATAATTTTGTAATTAAAGATCACAAATTCTTCAAATGGTGAAGAGGTTTTTTTTCATACCTTAAAATTTAATATTTAATATCTGGATAGAGAGAGGAATAGATTGAAGCACTGGAGTTTCTGAAAAATATTGAGATTGCTTTTTATTTATTTATTTATTTATTTAGAGATGGAGTCTTGCTCTGTTGCCCAGGCTGGAGTGCAGTGGCACGATCTCGGCTCGCTGCAAGCTCCACCTCCCGGGCTCACGCCATTCTCCTGCCTCAGCCTCCCAAGTAGCTGGGAGTACAGGCGCCTGCCACCATGCCCGGAGAATTTTTTGTATTTTTAGTGGAGACGGGGTTTCACCATGTTAGCCAGGATAGTCTCGATCTCCTGACCTTGTGATCCACCCACCTCGGCCTCCCAAAGTGCTGGGATTACAGGCGTGAGCTGCCGCGCCCGGCCGAGGTTGCTTTTTAAGTAGTAAAGATTTTAGAGTTGAGGAGATAACTTGAGGAGAGCTATGTCAATCTTTTATTCAATTATTTTATTTTTATTCATTTTTATTTTTAATTTATAAATTAATTTTTTAATTTTAAATAATAGAAATGGGGTTTTGCCATGTTGCCTAGGCTAGTTTTGAACTCCTAGACTCAAGTGATCCGCCTTCCTTGGCCTCTCAAAGTGCTAGGATTACAGGCGTGAGCTGCTGCGTCCAGCCTCCTTTATTCTGTTTTTATGAGAAAAAGTCAAGTTATAAAAATTTAAAATTTAGAGTAAATACAAATTTTACACTCTTATTAGTTTCCATTTTTCAAGAGACTTGTTCTTTGATAACCCTAAGGTCATTATAATAAAAATTAGGATTAGCTCTGCAAGTCAACTGTAAGTTTCAGATTGTTTCCATTCTTTCTTAACCATCTTCTTCTGCCCCCATCTTTAAAAAAAAAAGGCAGTAGGCTTTATGGCTCTAAAATCAAATGCTTATGTTGGATTCTAATAAGGGGGTTTTATTTCAGGTATTTGTAGGCAAAATACCAAGGGATTTATATGAGGATGAGTTGGTGCCCCTTTTTGAGAAGGCCGGACCCATTTGGGATCTACGTCTTATGATGGATCCACTGTCCGGTCAGAATAGAGGGTATGCATTTATCACCTTCTGTGGAAAGGAAGCTGCACAGGAAGCCGTGAAACTGGTATGTGATAATTATCCACTGTCTTAGCAAGTCACTATTTGAGGAAATAAACTTTAATTCAAAAATGTTTGTAGTTAACATTATTTTGATTTCTTCAGTTGTTGCTTGGAATGTTTTTATACTGACCAAGTTGGTATGTGACGTTTATTTTTCTCTGACTATAAAAGTAAAAAAGAACTGAAAATACCCAAAAAGTAATGTTTTATAGAAAGTCTCCCATTGATTTAAGAAGTTATCTATTAGATTGATATCAGAAGTTTCATATGAGTATTTGGCTTATGCATTTCTGTCTTTTGGTTTTAGGCAAAAGGATGTCAATTCTTGATGTTAAACTTTAGGATTCTTAAAGTATAATGAAGACTGGAATGGGCTGTGGGGAACATAATAGTGGATGACAGTGACTTAGGATTCAATTCAGAAAATAGTTGTGAATCTGTTTTATTTTGGTTACAGCCTACTCATACGATTTATTTCATATTTTCTAAGTGTATTTTTGTTCTTCCTGTATGTTTCTTGGCCCTTGAGTCTTCTCTGTCTTTAATCTTTCTCTCCTCTCCTACTATTTATAGCCAGTCTCATATTAATTTCCTTTCTCTAGGGCCTTTAACCACTTGGTGCTCATTTCAGACCAGTAGTAGTAGCAACAAAGTTCTGCAAATCAAATGTATCTTCACTCCTGCTGTATTTAAGACACAGCTATCTCAGTATCTTAAAATAACAATGTAATTATTTTTTGGCATACCCTTGCCTGACTTCTGAGGACCTCACTAAGTCTAGTTCTAGCCTTTGTAGAATGGTCAACTTCTTTCATCAAGGCTTTGGTTTCATTACTGGTGTCTGAATTAGTTCCACTCCTAGCTTGACCCAGATTTTAGTTTTTATTATGGATTTTTTCTTCAAACTTGTTTATTTAATATTAAGTTTTCATTTTTGGCAGCATATGGATGATTTTATTTTTAATAATCATATCTCTTAGTAAACTAATGGTTAAATAATATTAAAGTATAAGAAGCTAAAATTGGCCAGGTGTGGTGGCTCACGCCTGTAATCCCAGCACTTTGGGAGGCTGAGGCAGGCAGATCACCTGAGGTCAGGAGTTCAAGATCAGCCTGGCCAACGTGGTGAAACCCTGTCTTTACTAAAAATACAAAAATTAGCTGGGCGTGGTGGCGCACGCCTGTAGTCCCAGCTACTTGGGAGGCTGAGGCAGGAGAATCACTTCAACCCAGGAGGTGGAGGTTGCAGTGAGCAAAGATCATGCTACTGCCCTCCAGCTTGGATGACAGAGCGAGACTCCATCTTAAGAAAAAAAAAAAAGGGCTACAATTTATCAAGAAAATCCACTATAGTGATTTAAATAAAACATTTTTCAAAATTTTATAAAATTTTGAAAGTATTGTGTTTGGTAGACAATTTAAAACTATATATTTAGAATTCTGTGACTTCTGTAGAATTTGAAATTTTTCTAATATCTTTGCATTGATTAAACATAGTTGTTACCCTTTACATATTGTTATTTTGAGTATGGCTTACCTATATGCAATTACATTTCCAAGGACCCTGAATGATCAGTCTCAGGTATTTTTTTCTGAAAAATCTGTGGAAAAACATTTTCAGATAGATAAAATTAAAATATGAAATAAGATATTTTAAACAATAAAGTGAGTCCTTTTTATATGGAAGAGTAGTGAAGGTTAACAAAACCAAACTAAAACAAGAGACTGTAACAATGAAGTTTAAAATATACATTCATATTATGGAAAGCATGAGGGAACTTGGTGAGTTGATGAAGCAGGGAGCGTTTGGCCTTAAATTGTTGAATTTTTTAGATTAAGATCAATTGTCCTGAGTTTGGGGTGGTTTTGGGGTCTCTGGTTCTTTTCTTATTGCAGTGTGACAGCTATGAAATTCGCCCTGGTAAACACCTTGGAGTGTGCATTTCTGTGGCAAACAACAGACTTTTTGTTGGATCCATTCCGAAGAATAAGACTAAAGAAAACATTTTGGAAGAATTCAGTAAAGTCACAGGTAAAACAAAAATGTATTTAGAAATTACTTTTGCGAAATATGTTGTACTACTTACAAGTGCTCAAAAAAACTGAGGGGTTGTATGTATTAAATTAAGAATTCAGGTCTGAAGTATCTAAATTGCTTCCTTTCTGCTTTATAGTGGTTTGGGTTTAAGCAAGTTCCCTTATATCCTTCATTTCTTGGAATGTCCCCTTCACTTCTTTGTCTTAATTGAACCTTGGCTTTTGCTGGAGCTTTTGCTCTATAGCCCTCAAGTGAATGCTTTTTTTCCCCTTGACAATTAGTGTATTTTAGGACCAAGAGGATGAAAGTTTTTACTCTCTCCCTGCTGCCTTGTCTAGATCAGATTTTTTTTTTTTTTGAGACGGAGTTTCGCTCTTGTTGCCTAGGCTGGAGTGCAATGGTACGATCTCGGCTCACTGCAACCTCCGCCTCCTTGGTTCAAGCAATTCTCCTGCCTCAGCCTCCCGAGTAGCTGGGACTAGCATGTGCCACCACGCCTGGCTAATTTTGTATTTTTAGTAGAGACGGGGTTTCTCTATGTTGGTCAGGCTAGTCTAGAACTCCCGACCTCTGGTGATCCTCCCGCCTCGGCCTCCCAAAGTGCTGGGATTACAGGCGTGAGCCACAGTGCCTGGCTGATCAGATTTTTTTAAATATCCAATTCTAAATCCATGGAATTGATTGAGAAGTAGATTTTATATCACAGTTCTATACACATTTATATATAACTGAAACAATTTAACAAAACTGTACTTTTATTTATTATACATGATTTATTTTGATATTTCTTATTCTATTTCATTTTTTAAAATGCCAATTGTGATCTAATACTACCTATGATTTAAAAACACTGCGTTAGACCGCTGCCTCCCCTTGTAAAAACCACTGTTTCTTTACATTTTTATCATCCAGACATATCCTTTCCCTTTTGTTGAAGCTGTCATTCGTTGCTCTTGTGGTTTCAGCCTTTCATTAATCTAAAGATTGCTTCTGGCTCACTGTCTTCCTCTTCTGCCCTAAATTGGCTTCTTTCTAATACCTTTAACATCTACATTGGTGAACCATCCAGGGCTTTAGACTCCTACCTACTTCTATGTCTACCTCATCTTTAGTCCTTTACTTCAGCTCCACCATATCCAGATTACATTCTGGATCTAGTCACCAGAAATTCTATGCACTCTGAACTCTTGATTTCTAGCGTCCCACTTTGTAACCACTGCTACCACCCGCTATATTGTGTTGTCAAGTATTGTGTTGTCAACTGCTGGCACAGTTCTTTGACCTCATCACTTTATTATCTATAGCTCCTTCTGGCTTCATGATCATTTATTCATTCTTTCAGCAGGTGTTTATTAAAGTTCCTGTTAAGTGCTGGCATTGTGCTATGTGCCTGGGATACACTGATGGCTAAGAGACATATTCTCTGCTTTCATAGATCCTATATCCTGAGAAAGGAGATAAGACCAAGAATATAAAAAATAAAAATTAAAGGAATATTTAGACATTGTGATAAGACACTGAAGCAGGAAATACAGGATATTTAGCTAGAGAATAGCTACTATCCCTGTTTCCATGGTTTTGGAAGACTTTTCTGATAAGATGACATGTCAACCAGCACCTGAAGGATGAAGAGGTTGTAGCATACAAAGAGCAAAAGGAAGTGCATTCCAAGACAGCAACACGTGCCAAGGTTCCAAGGCAAGAAAGAAGTCAGTATATTACAGTAACTGAGGAGGCCAGTATTATTAAAAGGTAGAATTAGGAGTAGAGTTGTATGAAATGAAGTAGGCAGGGCTTCTGTAGGCCATGTAAGGAGTTGGGTTTTTATTGTATATATAATGAGAAGGTATTTAAAGGTTTTAAGCAGGAAATAACACCTATTTCTTGTTTATGGGATATTATTCCTAGCGCTCTGTGGATAGGGGCTTGGAGAGAAGGGGTGTGAGTGGAAGCTGATAAATTAGTTGAAGCTGTCATACTAGTACAGATACAGGATTAGACTAGGGTAATAGCAGTGGAGATAGAAAGAAGTAAATGAGTTTGGAATTGGATAGGAGAGATGAAGGAAGAAATCAAGAATGGCTAACCAATTTCTGGCTTCAGAACCAGGTGGATGGCACTGTTTATTAGATAGGAAGTCTAGGGAAGGCAGATTTTGGCCATGGTGGTTCAGTTTTGGAAAAGTTAAATTTGCAATGTCTAAGACATCAAAGAGGATACATCGGGTAAGAACGTAGGCACATCTAGAGCTTAGAGAAGTCTGGGGTAGGAAAAAAATCTAAGTATTTATAAGGGTATAGGTAACATTTAAAAGTAGGGCTAGCTGACATTATTTAGAAAGAACACATACGGAGAGATAAGGGCAAAGGACTAAGACCAGAGGAACACTAATATTTAGTGATCACTTCCATTCTTGGTAAAAATAGTAACTTTTAAGTTAGCTTCAAGGAAGATTTTTGGCCATGATTAGTTGTCAAAAGTTAGTTCTCTTGGGTTTATATTACTAATTTTGTTTTTAAGATCCTTGTTAGTGCTTTAATAAAGTCATGTTATATCAAACGCTCTAAAACATTGTAGCATGTTAAATGTCAGAATATAGTAGATTTGTTGTATATGGCTGTACCTTCAGAACCCCTAAAATTAAAAAGGAACATCAAATACTGTCCCAAACCCCATATCTAATTATGTTGATCTAATTGTCTACAAAATTAGTGACTCATGTTGAGGCTGCTTCACTTATATTTTGCTCATCGTCAAGTGGATTTAGGTCTGCCTAATCGCTAGATGTGTGGTGGATGCTTTTGGCTTATATATCTGGCTGTTGGTTTAACAGAGGGTTTGGTGGACGTTATTCTCTATCATCAACCCGATGACAAAAAGAAGAATCGGGGGTTCTGCTTCCTTGAATATGAGGATCACAAGTCAGCAGCACAAGCCAGACGCCGGCTGATGAGTGGAAAAGTAAAAGTGTGGGGAAATGTAGTTACAGTTGAATGGGCTGACCCTGTGGAAGAACCAGATCCAGAAGTCATGGCTAAGGTAAATACAGTTGCTTGGAATGGGCATAGGGTCATCATTTAAATTTTGTACTCAGAATAAAGCTCAAATATTTTGAGTTTTATGATAAATAGAAATTGTAGCTTTAGACTTCAACTGTTTGGCAAGGAGCGGCTTTAACACTAAAGTTAACAGCCTGTCTTGGTATCCAGGAATTTCCATTAACAATCCCTTTTCCTGCAGATTAAATGTGCAAAAGGAACTGAAATGAAATTCCTTCAATTAAGTAGTCCCATACACACTGGGTGTTTGTTTAGTGCTAGGCACTGTGAGGGATAGAGGTTTTTTTTTTTTTTAAAAGTCCTGAGTAAAGAGAGAAGTAATGTTTTGGAGATTATAAGTTATAATCTTCATTGACTATATTATGACTTTATTACTTGGCCATGAATTATGTTTTATTTAGATTTATAGCTAATTTTTCTTTTTTTAAGCTTTTTTTGTAGTTTTTATTTTTAAAAATATTTTATTTATTATTATTATTTTTTGAGACAGAGTCTTGCTGTGTTGCCCAGGCTGGAGTGCAGTGGTACGATCTCGGCTCACTGCAACCTCCACCTCCCAGGTTCAAGCGATTCTCCTTCCTCAGCCTCCCAAGTAGCTGGGACTACAGGCGCCTGCCACCATGCCCGGCTAAATTTTGTATTTTTAGTAGAGACAGCATTTCACCATATTGCAGGCTGGTCTCGAACTCCTAAGCTCATGATCTACCCGCCTTGGCCTCCCAAAGTGCTGGGATTAAGGCATGAGCCACCGTGCCCCGCCTCTTGTTTTTAAATGATCAGATTCCCTTAGTGTATTGTCCCCATGAAGAAAGGCAAAAGATTGTCATGTTTGCTCTTATTTGTTAGTGGCAAAATATGCATGGCAAGTCCTGTAAAGGGCCCTCAATTCCCTCCTGATTCCTGTACTTGCGTTGCCAGGATCTTAATAGTGGTGCCTTGAGTACTGGTTCTTAAGTTTTCCTTTGGGCGACTCCTGGGACACATCAGAGTTGCATTTCTTTTTTTTTGAGATGGAGTCTTGCTTTGTCCCAGGCTGGAGTGCAGTGGCGCGATCTCCACTCACGGCAAGCTCTGCCTCCTGGGTTCACGCCATTCTCCTGCCTCAGCCTCCCAAGTAGCTGGGACTACAGGTGCCCGCCACCACAGCTGGCTAATTTTTTGTATTTTTAGTAGAGACGGGGTTTCACCATGTTAGCCAGGGTGGTGTCCATCTCCTGACCCTGTGAACCGCCCGCCTCGGCCTCCCAAAGTGCTGGGGTTACAGGTGTGAGCCACTGCGCCCGGCCTCAGAGTTGCATTTCTGCTGCTTGCAATGAGCTCTTGAGCATTTTAGTTGTCTCTTCCCTTCACAGGGAGGCAGCAACTCTGAATGGCCATGAGTTAATGGTTGGATTCTTCTTGATAAGTCAGAAGTCAAGGTTTTTATTCCAGAATTTGAGGAGGCAAACCCTCGTTCTAAGTAGTTTGGAGGAGAACTCTGGTTTATACTTGTATAAAGTCTGGGTTGGCAGTGACATCTTTGGGTTAATCAGATAAGTTCTATTCAGAATGAACCAGAGAGGCTCTCAGAAGTGCTACTCAGTATCTTTTATCTCATATTCCTTGAGTAGATGGGTGTCTAGGAAAGGGATAGAGAATTTAAATAGCTCTGAGTTTTTATTTTGATTTTTTACTAGCTTGATTTTAATTCCTATTGTTTCTTCTCCTAATACAACTATGACTTTGGGTAAACTACTGAACATGAATGTCATCTATTTTATTGAGCCTGGATCAATCTCTAAGATCCACCACAACTTTGAATCTACCTGTAGTAACTAAGTATAGCCTGTATTACTTTTTCTGTAAAAATATTTTAAAATAGTATTATAGATGTATTATAATAGAGGAATAAAATATTATAAAAGAGGAATAAAATCCCATGAAAACCAAAAGTATAGCTTGTAATTTGCTTACCAGCCACTTCTCACATAACCTTTAGTAACTGCTCAGATGGAAGTTCATCCTAATCTTTTTTTAGGGTTAGAAAACTTCAAGATTTCATTCTGGTAACTCCTTTTTCCTAGATCTAAAACAGGTTTCAGAATGAAAAGGAGGTCTCTATAAACTTAGGATTAAATATTATGGAGCCCTTTATTGTTTCTTTTTTTTAAAAGATGGGGTCTCATGTTGCCCAGGCTGGAGTGCAGTAGCTGCCCACATGTGCAGTCATAGCACACTGCAGCCTTGAACTCCTGGGCTTAAGCGTCCCTCCTGCTTCAGCCTCCCGGGTGCTTGCAACCCCATCCAGCTCCTTTATTGTTTCCTAATTGAAAAGAAAAGTTTATCCATTTGAGTAAAGCTTCTGTTATTCACACTATCAATTTACAATTCACTGAAGATTTTTTTTGCCAAGTTGGGTCAGTTTTACAATGTACCATAACCTAAAAGCCTAAATATATGTCTCTTAAAGGGACCCTTTTTCCTGTTGAACATTTTAAACACAATTTCAGTAAGTAATTTTCACATAGTATGTTATCGTTTCATCATAGAAAAGTCCATGTTGAATTTTTTTTAAAAAGCAACTAAACCAGTGGGAGTCTGTGTAACATAGAGGCTGGACCTTAGTATGACAAATTGAGAATAATAAAGGGGATGGAGCGTTTGTGGAAAATGTTAGTTTTTTTCCTCCTTAAATTAGTATCTTCTTATTAGATAGCCCTTTATCTGAAGCAACAATTTGTTCAATATGTTAGTTTTTTATTTGGATAGGTACTATGTTTTCTTAGTTCAAAAGTTATATAGAAAAGTATAGACAAAGAAATTTCCTTTCTACCCCTATCCCTGTGTCTACCAAATCCCCTTTGTCTCCTATAAGGCATCCAGTTTTAATAGTTGCTGGTTTCCTTTTAGTATTTCCTTCGGCAAATATGGATATACTTCCTTAATTCTTAGATGAGTGGTAGTAATGTTGGTAGCCTACCATATCCACTGATCTACCTTTTGTTTATTCACCATCCTGTTTCATCAGCTCTGAGGAAATACATCATTACTATATGTACTACTAAATAGTTAAAAAACACTGCCAACTAAACTATGGCACAGTACTTGCTTATCACATTGACTGTAAGTTGTCCTATCCTACAACTCATAGAGCTCCTCTTCATTTTTTGGGTTTTTGTTTTTTTTTTTTTTTTTTTTTTTTTTGAGACGGAGCCTTGCTCTGTCACCCAGGCTGGAGTGCAGTGGTGTAATCTTGGCTCACTGCAGCCTCTGCCTCCCGGGTTCAAGTGATTCTCCTGCCTCAGCTTCCCGAGTAGCTGGGGTTATAGGTGCCTCCTACCACGCCCGGCTAATTTTTGTATTTTTAGTAGAGACAGGGTTTCACCATGCTGGCCAGGCTGGTCTTGAACTCCCAACCTCAGGTGATCTGCCCACCTCGGCCTCCCAAAGTGCTGGGATTACAGGCGTGAGCCACCGCGCCCAGCCCTCTTCTTCATTTTTTATGACTACATAGTAGTCTATTCTGTGGAGGTACTATAGTGTATTTAACCAGCTGGATATTGTTTCTAATCTTTTGCTCTTACAGTGCTGGAAGGAATAAGCTTATGTTAGTTGATACAAGTGGAGATATATCTGTAGGATAGATTCTTAGGGGTAGAATTGTGGGCCAAAGGGTAGATATATCTGTAATTGTTAAGATACTGCCATATTCCTTTCTGTAGGAGATACACTATTTTACATTCCTACCAGCAAAATACAAGAGAATTATTTTCCTCATTCTTGACAAAATAGTGTATAATCAAACTTTTGAATTTTGCCAGCCTGATAACAAATGTCTCAGTGCCATTAATGATTAATGATTTGCTTCTCTTACTATGAATGGTTTGAACTTTAAATATATTTTAAGAGCCATATGTGTTTCTGTGTATGAACCATGTATTCAGGAATTTTGCCTATTTTTCTATTCAGTTGTTGAGCTTTTTGTTATTTTCTGGTGCTCTGATATAAAAGAGAGATTAGCTGTTTGTGATACATGTTGCAAATTTTTCATCCATATTTATTGTCTTTGCTTATAGTATTTTTTTGCCATATAGAAGTCATTTATTTTTAGTAGTTGAGTATAACATTCTTATGGCTCCTAGATTTTAAGTCATAAGGTCATCCCCACTCCAGTGTTATATAAAGGAATCATTCTTGTTCTAAAATTTCACAGTCCTCCCTCCACCCTTTTATTATTTAAATTTTCAATCTATTTGGAGTTTATCCTTGTGTATAGTGTAAGGCATGGACCAGCTTTTCTCCTTTTTTTCTAATTTAACACTACCTGATTTAATGATTTAAGCATTATAGTTTGTTTATATTTGGTAGGGCCAGCCTCTAAATTTCACTCTTTTTTTTCCTGGTTATTCTTGCTTATTTATTTTTTCATATGAACTTTTGAAAGTTACTCAGTTTTAGAGGAAAGAAACAGAAAAACTTGTTTTGAAAGGGACTTTTTGTTGATTAACTTGGTAATAATAATTATGTGTTGGTTCCTTGAAGGTTCTACTCAGTGTTAGGTGCTTTAATGACAACATAGGAGAAGGCAGGAACCAATAATTTTTGTAAATTGGTGACTGATATCAGTGTCATTTTCCTAGCAATTTCTCTTACTACCTGTAACAACACTTTTAGCACTTAATGTTTTAGAGGAGAAAAGCTATGCTATGAAGACAGGAAGAAACACTTTTCAGGTAAAATTAAGTAGCCAATGACGGTTTTGTTTATTTGTTGCTTACTAGGTAAAAGTTTTGTTTGTGAGAAACTTGGCTACTACGGTGACAGAAGAAATATTGGAAAAGTCATTTTCTGAATTTGGAAAACTCGAAAGAGTAAAGAAGTTGAAAGATTATGCATTTGTTCATTTTGAAGACAGAGGAGCAGCTGTTAAGGTAGGAATTTTGAAATTTTGGTTCTTGATATTTGAATTTTGTTTTTGAAACTTGCCAAACACAAAGTAACTTTAAAAACTGAAACAATATTGGTTGTCAGCTTTTGCTGAACTCTTTCTATTTAATCTCTGTAAAGTGGTAATAGTATGTAACAGATAAGACTCCATATTTCAAAGCCAGGTTATTACTGAGTTTGTGATCTTAGGCAAGTTATTTTTAATCTCTGTATTGTTTTGTAAGATTCGATAGCATGATGCCTTGGAAGTATTACAAGGTATAAAAATTAGCTGCTGTAAACACTGAATAGGTAATGAATGCATTATAACTACTTAGTTGACCTCAGTTTGTGTACCTATGAAGGAAACTGAGTGGTGTACATGACTCATACAGTATACCATGTTTAATTGAGTAGATAGATTTTGAGGGTATGATTAGTTTTACCTTTATTTAATCATTTTAGAGTTAAAATAGCATTCACTATGTTTTACTGATTTCGGTAATTGTTAGAGATATCACTTGTGTATAATAGTTGATTTAGTCTTTGATGATAATGAAAAGTTTGAAGAAAGTATTTTCATATGGTATCTGGAACACAAAACCTGCTTTCTATCGACAATGGTTTAGGACTATCTTTAATGGGTGAAATTTTCAGTTTCTTTTTTTTATTCATCTCTCCTTCCTTGGGGGGGTGGGAGCAAGACAAAACACTACTAAAATCTTATTTATGTTATTAGGAAGATAGATCCAGAATGCTTAGTGACACAGGCATGGTTCTTTTTCTGCATGTTTGGTCGGTGGGATACTGCCATCTCTAATCTGAGCATTTTTTGGTTTTGTTTTTTGCCCAGGCTACTGCTTTTAAAACAGGCTTTATAGAATCCCTGATTGGTTTATAATTAATTGGCTTGCTCATTGATGGTAGCTAATTAATGAGGCAGTATTGTTCATAAAATTCATAACTTGTCCAAGATCACAAACTCAGTAATAATCTGGCTTTGAAGTATGGAGTCTTATCTGTTATGCTGTTATACTCTTATCCGTTCATTTGTGGCTTCTGAAATTTCACTGGTATAGAATGCAGATAACTAATAATTTTATGCTGTCTAAATATTCCTCCTGACTCGACTGGTTTCAAATAACTGGTTGTCCTGATTGAAAATATTTATAGGATGGTTTGCCAAAGAAGCCTATGAAATTATAAAATATCTAGTCCAGGAACTGGGAGTCACCAGGATGGTCAGGGCAGAGGGTAGATGTTTCATTTTTTAATTTATGCCAGGAAGCTTTTGTAAACTTGTTTAGTTGCTTTAACTGAAGCAACGCAAAGCTGAGGTGGTAAAAGGGAAAATTGCAGTCTTGAGGACTAGTTTCGTTTTTGTCTAGATACTTATAAATCACTGATAGCTCCAATAGAACATTTTTTTATGTGTGCCCAGAGTGGGGAAAGGTATAGGGAAACAAAAAATAAAATATCATGAGGAGGTGACATTTTGTTACTGAGTACCTGAACCTTTTGATGTATGGCAGAGGTTGTTAGGTGGAACAACGTGAACAAAGGGCTAGAACATGGAATGTTTGATTACTGCTTTCTACATAATTGCTTGAGTCTTCATTAGTCCAGGCCTTTTCTGGCTCTGTACTTTTAACTGTTCAAGCAAAGTACATTTTGGGTTAAGCATTGTGAGGGAAACCTAGGCTTTTTTGTGTTAGTATCTTCTTGAATTTTACAGATAATCTCACTCAGTAACCTCATTTGTGCTTCAAATCCTTGAAATTGTCGTATAAGAACAGTGGAAGACCTGTATGTTGTATGCTACATGTTTATTTTAAAATTCTAATCCTGAGAAGTTAATCTTTGTCTGGCTCGTATTAATACTGGCATTTTTCCCCGGTATGGATTTGCTTCTTTGGTATGGCTTATCTTTTAAGGAGTTATTTGGAATTAAGGAGCAGCAATAGGTGGCAGCCCTTTTACCTTTTAAAATATAATATCAGGTGGTCGGTTTTGTTCTAAATGTAATTTATGTATAAAAAGATAAGGTCAAGGGAAACGTATTTTCTTTGTGTGTTTGTGTTTAACTTTCTGGCTAGATTCACCTTTTGCCATTTAAAATAATTGTGAAGTAAATTGTTAAGTGTATTAAATTACACAAGTATAATAGCTTACATACTATATAAAACAAAATACAGTTTTATATCGTTGTAAAATAATTTTTCTAATTTTTTATAGGCTATGGATGAAATGAATGGCAAAGAAATAGAAGGGGAAGAAATTGAAATAGTCTTAGCCAAGCCACCAGACAAGAAAAGGAAAGAGCGCCAAGCTGCTAGACAGGCCTCCAGAAGCACTGCGTGAGTCTACATTTTAGTAGATATATCTTTGGACAAGGAATAACGTGATAATGGAGATCAGATTAATAAAACAAAATCAGAGTCTTGAAGCAAACTGATTTGTTTTTTCTTTTCTCCCTTCTCTACTTTGCTAGGTATGAAGATTATTACTACCACCCTCCTCCTCGCATGCCACCTCCAATTAGAGGTCGGGGTCGTGGTGGGGGGAGAGGTGGATATGGCTACCCTCCAGATTACTACGGCTATGAAGATTACTATGATGATTACTATGGTTATGATTATCACGACTATCGTGGAGGCTATGAAGATCCCTACTACGGCTATGATGATGGCTATGCAGTAAGAGGAAGAGGAGGAGGAAGGGGAGGGCGAGGTGCTCCACCACCACCAAGGGGGAGGGGAGCACCACCTCCAAGAGGTAGAGCTGGCTATTCACAGAGGGGGGCACCTTTGGGACCACCAAGAGGCTCTAGGGGTGGCAGAGGGGGTCCTGCTCAACAGCAGAGAGGCCGTGGTTCCCGTGGATCTCGGGGCAATCGTGGGGGCAATGTAGGAGGCAAGAGAAAGGCAGATGGGTACAACCAGCCTGATTCCAAGCGTCGTCAGACCAACAACCAACAGAACTGGGGTTCCCAACCCATCGCTCAGCAGCCGCTTCAGCAAGGTGGTGACTATTCTGGTAACTATGGTTACAATAATGACAACCAGGAATTTTATCAGGATACTTATGGGCAACAGTGGAAGTAGACAAGTAAGGGCTTGAAAATGATACTGGCAAGATACGATTGGCTCTAGATCTACATTCTTCAAAAAAAAAAATTGGCTTAACTGTTTCATCTTTAAGTAGCATTTTGCTGCCATTTGTATTGGGCTGAAGAAATCACTATTGTGTATATACTCAAGTCTTTTTATTTTTCCTCTTTTCATAAATGCTCTTGGACATTATTGGGCTTGCAGAGTTCCCTTATTCTGGGGATTACAATGCTTTTATCGTTTCAGGCTTCATTTTAGCTTCAAAACAAGCTGGGCACACTGTTAAATCATGATTTTGCAGAACCTTTGGTTTTGGACAGTTTCATTTTTTTGGATTTGGGATAGATTACATAGGAGTATGGAGTATGCTGTAAATAAAAATACAAGCTAGTGCTTTGTCTTAGTAGTTTTAAGAAATTAAAGCAAACAAATTTAAGTTTTCTTGTATTGAAAATAACCTATGATTGTATGTTTTGCATTCCTAGAAGTAGGTTAACTGTGTTTTTAAATTGTTATAACTTCACACCTTTTTGAAATCTGCCCTACAAAATTTGTTTGGCTTAAACGTCAAAAGCCGTGACAATTTGTTCTTTGATGTGATTGTATTTCCAATTTCTTGTTCATGTAAGATTTCAATAAAACTAAAAAATCTATTCAAAACATTACCTATTTCAAATTCAATTGTGTCCTAAAACATTATTTTATTCGTAATCCTTGCAAGGAATATTGTTTTCAAAGTATAACTGCCTATGTGAGTGATCAAATTCATGCAAAATTTCTTGTTTATTCCAACATGTGTTGTGGATATTAGACTGAGGATTAGTCTAAATTCAAGTATTTATTCCAATTAGCACTTTCATTGATTGGTGTTCTCTCATAGTCTCTTCTAATTTTGAAATTTTATCTTTTATTAAAAAAAAAAAAACAGGTTCATAGACTTTTGAGCATTCTTGCAGGCATTGGATAATTTGCATTAAAACAAATAAAATGTGGCTGGGAAAGCAGACTGCAATTTATTTTGACCCACATTCTTTATAAGGGATAATTTGTGACTGAAGACCTTATTTGCTGGATAAGTGAATGTACATACAGGGAAAATTGTTAGTACTGTGGCGTCAATTGCACTGCGGACTTTAGTTTTAGTGAAAATGATCGTGACTACCATTTCAGTTACTGGTTTAGGAATATAATTTCCTATTACTATGTAAATTTGCTTTGAGAAACATTCATGCCTTGTAAGAGAGGCTTAAAAATATCCAGTAGTAATACCTTTGACTTTCTGTTAACACTTCGTTTATTTTTATTTATCTGCTATCCCTGATGCCCAAATTTTTTGTTGGCCAAGACATAACATCTATTTCCCTATTTCCTTTAGAAATTCTGATTTATTCTAATGACTTTTTTGCTTGAGAATGAGAGGAACAAAAGAATCTAAGCTTTACGGTACAGAAAAGTGAATCACTTTCAAATTACTATTAAGTTTTCCCCTCCATCTTATTCTTACGTGGTTCTCAAATGTTTTTATAATGATAAAAATATCAGAAGCCATTGGGGAATAATTAAAATGGATACACCATTATTCTGTGTTTTGTTCCTGTTTGGTGTCTTTGTGATAGGAATATTAGATTTCAAAATCATAAGCCACTTAATTCCGTGTAATCTTGGCTAGATCATATTGGGTTTCATGGCTTCTTTTCATTTCAATTTAAGATTACTATTTACTGATGAAAGTCAATATATTTCATTTCTTTTTCAAAGTACACTCATTACACAGTATAGTCATTTAACAGACCTTATTGATATTTTAGTTTTTTGGAAACTGATAAAGGAATTATGGTCTGTTGTATGATAGTTTTGAGTTAACATGGGTATTTCTTTGGTAAGACAGATCCAGTTGTTTTTCTTATGCCCATGTATGCAAGTAAAGACACCAAACATTCTTTAAATGCTGCTTTTAAACTTTGAAAGTACAATTTGAAGTTGTAACTATACATCTAATTAGACTTAAGTAAAACCCTGATTTTTTTCCTGGAAAGAACAAAATCTACAAATAAAATTTGAGTTGTTTGTATTTCTTAATTAGGTGTTACAAGCTACAAAGTTGTCATAAAGAATGCTAAGAATGGGGATAGAAATGATTCTGAGAAAACAAACCCTCGCAAAAACATAAGATTAAAACTTGGGTTCCATGTCAAAATCCTTTCCTTTAATTGCAAATTATATTTTGAATTTTAAAGTGGCCACCTCCTCCTCTGTCCTTTTCACTAATTAAAAATATATTTGCAGAGGTACCCTCTAATATTTGGTTTATAGGTTTTGTGGCTATTTTAAATTGTAAAGCATAATCCTATAAACATTAAAACTCAAGAGCTTTTCTTCTTTCATGTCTTGTAAATTAACACTGTAGCAGCATTCAGAGAAAATAGATTCAGAGCTCAACTTTTCACATAAATAAATCTAACAGTGTAATATATAAACCTGAAAAATGTCAGTTGAGGGAGGTCTTTATTCTAGATTGGCATTTTTTTTTTTTTAAATTAGGTACAAATTATGAGTGTAAGGAATTTGGTTTCCTGCTCTCCTGTCTTTCCATCTTTTTTGTTCCCCAAGCTAATTGATTTGGCTTTATTTATGAGCCTGTTACAGTAAAGTGTGTGTTGGGAAATATATTGAGGTATAGAGCTATTCTTTGTAGGTACCCTGGTGAGACCGATACAAATATGCCCCTCCCCATAATGGAATACTAATTTTTATTTGATCACTCATTTATAGCAGTTGCTTAAATGTATGTATTTATATGAAGGTATTTTAATTTTTAAGAGCAAAAAAGTTCTAATAAGTTGCCAGATTTCTAATAAATGCAGGTTTATTTGGTGAAAAGATAAGGAAAATGAGTTATGATTCTGTAGTTTTTTTAAAATGAGTTCAGCATAATTGTTTTTCAGGTTTTTTTAGTTACTGGGGTTATTCTGCATAAGAAAGCCCAATGCTTTCTGATAGTAGGAGATAATTTTTCTCTCTTTTGACTTTGAAATCTGACTTAGGAGATGAATTCTTTTTAAAAAGGTCAGCATGCAAAAAAATAAATTATATATTTTAAATTCTAAAAGAGAAGGGACATAAAATTTCACTCCTAGCATAAAGCCATATAATATTATTCTTGAAACTCATTACATCATTTGCCTCCTGCCCATTTGAATATAATCATACCTACGTTTTATTAATTGTGCATTTGTAAAACCAAACCCTTCCAGTAAATACTTGCTATAAGGCTATTGCTTGTCAATTATCAAGGCTTCTAAATATGTTAAAACTTGTCATTTTGATTTTTCAAAGATAATTTTATTATACTGAGCTACCAATATTCTTAAAGAAAACTAACCAAAGTTAATATTAGTGTAGTCCATTATTATGTGGACAATTATTATGTGGAATCTCTTAAGTGAGCAACTAAGAAAAAGCCTTATAGAAAGACTACACTGGATTTATAAGTGTGTTTATGTTTCTCTAAGAATGGGAGCTTCTGTTAACTTAGGGGTGGAGTTGTTCTGAGGAAACCAGTAGATTGGATGACTGACTGGAGAATCCAGAATAACAAATCCATTAGCCAGACATGTTTACTTTTATATTAGAAGTTTGTTGATTAGGTCTTAATTTTCAAACGCAAACACCAAGCTTTAAAAATATTGCATATACAATGTATTGGTCAGCAATTTAATAATATTTAATTTGAAGTTAATTATTGTTAATCCTTCTAGAAAAGTTTTTTTTCTTTAAATAAAAGTACATATATATACTTTTTTATTTAGAGGTTACCAGAAGCTCTGGTTTTGTTTTGTTTTGTTTTGTTTTTTTGTTTTTTTAATCATTTTCAGATGTTATCCAGAAATCTGCAAGTGTACTTTTCCTGTTTTAACTCCTTCCTTTTATCACCTGACTATCAGGGAAGCGAGGTTGAGGCTGCCCTGACCTGACATGTCATGATGTCGACTTGCTAGGTGGGGTTCGCTGGGGACGATAACCAGTGGAATTGTTGGTAAGAACTTTTTTTTCCTATTTTTTTTTTTATCAGTAGTGGGGCATTAAGTGTGGGAGAATGCCCATATCCTATAAGTGGGCAATTATGTCAGCCTTGTAGAAAAATAGGACTTTAATATTAAATTATTTTGTTCTTAATAGGAACATATAATAACACTTCACTTACTTTTAAATTGGTAGCAGATCAGCAGGAAAGGCCTGCAAGTATGAAGTAATGAAATACTCAGGGTATATTTTAAGTGAGCAAAATAGACACCTTATAATCTTAAAAAGTCTCTTGGAGAGACAATAAATTTGCTTTAACTGTCATTTCAGTCTAGTATTATATTTTCTATATTTTGTTGGATAGATTAACATATAATGCATCTTAAAGAGATATTTATTGCACACTAATTTTAGTGAAAACAAGAAGACATTGATAGAATGGAGGGCTTAAACACCAAAGATACTATTTTTAAAAATCTTCCAAAGTAATCTTAACACTGTAAAATGAAACTTTAAAAAGTTTTAGCAGTTTGACAATAATGGCCTCAATTTAGAGATATGTTGAGACAATGACTTTGGGTCAAGAGGAAATTACATAGCTGAAATATTAAGACCTTGAACATAGCAGAAACATAAACCTATGAACAACTTGTGTTTTGTGTGAAAGCTAGGGTAGCTGATAGGATTAGCAGATATTGGTAGAATTAAGAGTCAATATTTAAATTATTGCTAAAGATTAAAATCCCTCATCTTATAGTTTGTAGGGGATTCCATGATGGTAAGGTATAGATTGAAATTAAATTTAGTAACTAGGCATTTCTGACCATACCATATAAAAAATAATTGTAATATGGTATAAACACTGATTAAAAGTAATTATGGATTTTCATGCCTGAAGAACCTTCTCAGTATTCTTACAGCACTGTATCTTCTTTATTGGTTGAGAATATCAGTCTAGAAAGACTTTCCTAGATGTTAAATGTGCTAGTCAGTGTCATGAATATAAACCCTTACTTGTAAGTTTGCTATAGACTAGTTGTACAACACTAGAATGAAATTATGTAATACTTTTAAGAATTGTAGTGATTGCAGGGTTGTGTTAAGGTAACATTTTATGCATGTGTCAGTGACAGAAAGGATCAGGGTATAAAACTTAGCACTAAATAGCATGCTCCTTAGGAAGTTTTAAGGTAAGCAGTAGGAATATTCATGTAATTCTGATGAGTTTATGTAAGTTAAGGAAAATGCAATGCCAGTTTGTTGACTTTAAACACTAAAAACAAAATACATTTTGTGGAACCAACAAAGGAGACATTCTGGGGAAAAACTTAAATTGCTCAAATTTAAATAAGGGCTCTCACTTTATATAGTAGATTTGTCAGGATCCCATGAACATTGCTTTTCTTGATTTCTCACATATGAGGGTTGGGCAAAAGGGACTTCTCTAGCCTCTTCGATAATGTAGGTAGACTTGTACTTAGTGAATCCCATTATAATGTTAGGTACTATGTTCTAAGACTATTTCTATAATTGGACTGAAGGCTCCTGCAAACATAAATTGCTGATATGGATATAGTAACATAAGAAATACCAAAATAGGGACATTTGCAAGACCTTTTCCATTTAATCATCAGTTTAATAAAAATCATGCTTTTGGTACAGTGTTCATGTACCATAACTGTATTGGAATATTTGTACGATGTTAAATATTTTTAATAAAATTTAACATGTTCAAAATGTTGTGTTGGTGATTTTGGGTGGGGTGTGATGGGTTTGATTGTGCAAAACAGATTTAGTAGTTATGTGATTTAGGCTTTTGTAGTTAAATGGAGTTTCTGTCTTCAAATTTAGTACTAGATACTGTACCTGTTCTAAGGAAGGTAGTGAAGGAGTAGGATAGTAAAAATGAAAAGGCTGAACTCCCCAGAGATTTATTAAATTGCCAGGAAGCTTGACTGAGGTTAGAACTAGATCTACAGGTGGCAGATAGGAATATTGGCTGTGGCATAACAGGCTGCCAATAGCGTTTTTGTGAGGAAATTGTGGCATTTTGGAAATGATCCTAGAGAATCTACAGAGGTGGGCAAACGTAAACACTTGTACAGTGCTTTCAGTAGGCTTTTTATTGCCCCAGTGCCCTTGTGCCCTCGATGTGACATGCCACAAGTGAAGGAGAAGTGGTGAGGGGATTATTTGAGGAAAGCTTTGTTGGACAGTTTGGATGCATCATCGGGAGATACTGCCAATTTACAGGAAGTACTGTATAAAGAGTTCTCTCTTTGTGTCTTAATTTTATAAGATTTCCTCTTCTCTTGCAGGTAGCCCTAATACAGTGGTTTTTCTTATGACTTATTTTTCTTGAGGGTGTACTTCGTTTCTCACCAGTCAAAAACATAGAAGTTCTGCAACTCAGAATGGAAATTCACTTGAAGTAATGTGTGATTCCTCTGTAATCAGTGCCATTAATAGCAAAAAATATTTAAAAGGAAGATGATTGGGACCTAATAGTCTATAAACAAATTGAGTAAGAAAGCATTAAGAAGGACTAGTAATGTATTCTGCCTTGTTTCTTTCAAATGAAGACTGTTAAACTGAGTTACGGGGAAGAAAAAGTGAATACCCTATTGTTTCAAGGTAATAAAGAGTAAACAGTATACTTCCTTTTGGTTAGTGTTTTCCAGAATTTACTGTTCTTGTTGTGTTATGTTCTTTTTGTTCCAAGATCAAAAGATCACTCACTGAAACAGGAAGGAATGTTCTAACAGCAGAAATATCTAAACTTGGGCATCTTTAGATGTTTGCAGAATGGGAGGTGGAATGAAAGGTGGGGCAGCTCACTGATTTGCGATGTATTTCTTCCAAAAATAAAGGGTTGCTTAAGCTTTAGCTGTACCAAAAGCCCCGAATTTATTTAGTTTAGTTTTAGAAATAACAAGATTTTGTTAGGTATTTTCCTGTGGAGTATATTATATTCACCTAGGGAGATATCTTCTGTCTATAGCTATGAAAAGAAATTAAATTTCTATTTCCTTGTAATTGAAAGTTGTGACCAAAATCAAGACCATGTGTAGACATTTCCTCTAGCTCATAAGCAAGAGTAGTGTTTTATTCAGCTGTTTACTTAAAATTCCAAATGGTGACTTTTAGGCCTAGATGTCTATTTGTTAAGAGGCAGGAGGGGCTCTGTGTGGTGGTGGTTCTTGCTGGTAATCCTAGCACTTTGGGAGGCCCAGGTGGGAGGATTGCTTGAGCCCCGGAGTTCAAGATCAGCCTGGGCAACATAGGGAGACCCCATCTCTACAAAAAATCAGAAACTTAGCTGAGCATGGTGGCACACACCTGTAGTCCCAGCCACCGTGGAGGCTGAGGTGGGAGTATTGTTTGGGCCTGGGAGGTAGATGCTGTAGTGAGCTGTGATCCTGCCACTGCACTCTAGCCTGGGTGACAGAGTGAGACGCTGTCTCCAAAAAAAAAAGAGGCAAGAGATTAAATTAGACACAGTTTAGTCATGCCTTTTAAAATAACAAGGAGTTTGATCATTTTAAGATTCTTTCCCATGGGGTAAAGGTGAGAATCAGTATTGTCAAGTATGGTAACGGTGGTGAGAAAAGGAGCTCAGTTTTTAAGTATGTTAAGGGGTAATATTTCCTTAGTTACAAAAATACTGCGTTATTGCAGATCTCAATACTGTTTAATAGAATTTGGAAACATTCCTGTACGCGTGTTCTTGGGAGATTATTCTGTACTTCAGTTAGGAATCCTTTAAGTCTGTAAACTTCAGTTTCAGCCTAGGTTTTTAAGTAGATTAAGCAAAGTTAATACTTTTCTTTTCTTTTCTTTTCTTTTTGAGACAGAGTCTCCCTGTGTCGCCCAGGCTGGAGTGCAGTGGCGCGATCTTGGCTCAGTGCAAGCTCCGCCTCCCGGGTTCACGCCATTCTCCTGCCTCAGCCTCCCGAGTAGCTGGGACTACAGGCGCCCGCCACCACACCTGGCTAATTTTGTTTTTGTATTTTTAGTAGAGACAGGGTTTCACTGTGTTAGCCAGGATGGTCTTGATCTCCTGACCTCGTGATCTGCCTGCCTCAGCCTCCCAAAGTGCTGGGATTACAGGCGTGAGCCGCCACACCCAGCCATTAATACGTTTTAAAAGGCCACTATTTTTATCAGCTAAATCACTTTTGAAAATTTTGTGTGTTATGTGTTATACTCAAAATATTATCAAAACATTCTGTTTTCATTTGAACCTATTGATTAGAATGGTGCTTATTTATTTGGCTGTTGTTCAAGTACCTGAATTGGCTTGGTCAGAAGGACTTGGGTGTTCTAGCTAGCTGTCGTATAACTAAATATTTTTGGTTAAGTGGTACATGTTTAGCATTGGCTTGTCATTTTGAAATTTTTCCATGCTTCCTGTTAAGAAATAGAACCTTACCAAATTAGTCATATTTAAATATAATCTGTATAGAGTTGGTATGGAAAACGATTTGATCTAAATACAACCAACAATAAATATTTTTATTGAAACTTCCTTTTAATTGATGAGTAGTAATATGGATGTCTTCATTAGTTGTAATGTCATTTCTATTTTACTTTCCTAAATGTGAAAGAAAAGATGAAAGACCATTTCTTGGACATATCAAATGATTTTTAAGGAATTTCTGGTGATTATTTAAATTTTCTAGTTAAGCTGTCTAGGTCAGAATTCATCATTCAAAAATGCTGCTCAAACTTGAAGTGGGTAGGAATTTCTGGGGATTTTGATTAAGATGCAGATTCTGACTCATTAAATCTGAGATGGGCAAGAGTCTGCATTTCTGACAAGCTCATAGGTGATGCCAGTGTTCCTGACTACACTTTCAGTAGCAGAGTTACAGATTATCCCACATTTTGGGGGATTTTGGAGAATGATCTTAGTAGAAAAGATAACAACAGATGTTTGCAGTGATTTGCCTGGATGTAGTTGGTCTGAGATTTAAAACTATGATAAATGTTGCCACAAATGTTTAATAGTGTTTGGGACCCCAAGGAAAGATTAGGAACATTGTCTGCAAAAAAATGAAATGAATTTAGAAAAACAGGCTTTAATAGTTTCAAGGAATTGCTAGAAAATAATGGGAAGGCATATGCAGAAAAGATCAGGATGCTGAGAAAATGTCATGGCATGTTTATTTAGGAATTAGATCTGAAAACAGTTACATGAGTTATAGAAAAAATAAAGCTCAGAAAGGAAGGATTGATAGGTTACTAAAAATGCCTATGTGGTTTTATTTTTGGAATCTGTAACTTTGTCTCCCCAGGAAGGTTTTCACTAACTAGTTCAAAGTAAATCTTGGGCCAAGTGTGGTGGCTCATTCCTGTAATCCCAGCACTTTTGGAGGCCAGGGCAGGTGGATCACTTGAGGTCAGGCGGGCGTGCACCTGTACCTAGCTACTTGGGAGGCTGAGACAGGAGAATCACTTAAAACCGGGAGGCAGAGGTTGCACTGAGGCGAGATCGCACCACTGCCCTCCAGCCTGGGCGAGAGAGTGAGTCTCTGTCTCAAAAAAACAACCAACTAACCAACACCCCCGCCACCAAAAAAAAAAAAATCAAAGTAAATCTTGGGTAGTAAGTGAAAGCAGACTAATGAAGAAAATTGTTAAAGGTGACTTTTTTTTTTTTTTTGAGATGGAGTCTCGCTCTGTCACCGAGGCTGGAGTGCGATGGTGCGATCTTGGCTCACTACAACGTCCGCTTCCCGGGTTCAAGTGATTCTACTGCCTCAGCCTCCTGAGTAGCTGGGATTACAGGCACATGCCACCATGCCCGGCTAATTTTTGTATTTTTAGTAAGAGATGGGGTTTTGCCATGTTGGTCAGACTGATCTTGAGCTCCTGACCTCGTGAACCCCTCACCTCGGCCTTCCAAAGTGCTGGGATTACAGGCATGAGCCACTGTGCCAGGCCTAACTTTTTTTTTTTTTTTTTTTTTTTGAGACAGAGCCTAGCTCTGTCGCCCAGGCTGGAGTGTGGTGGCGCGATCTCAGCTAACTGCAACTTCTGCCTCCTGGGTTCAAGCGATTCTCTCCCTGCCTCAGCCTCCCGAGTAGCTGGGATTACAGGCACCTGCCACCACGCCCCAACAATTTTTGTATTTTTAGTAGAGATAGGGTTTCACCATGTTGGCCAGGCTGCTCTGAAACTCCTGACCTCAAGTAATCTCGGCCTCCCAAAGTGCTGGGATTACAGGCATGAGCCACCATGCCCAGCCCTAAAGGTGACTTTTTAAAAACAACTTTCAGCCGGGCACTGTCACTCACACCTGTAATCTCAGCACTTTGGGAAGCCGAGGCTGGCGGATCGCCTGAGCTCAGGAGTTCTGGACCACCCTGGGCAACATGGTGAAACTCCATCTCTACTAAAATACAAAAATTTAGCCAGGCATGGTGGTGCACGCCTGTAGTCCCAGCTGCTCAGGAGGCTGAGGCTTGAGAATCGCTTGAGCCTTGGAGGCGGCGGTTGCAGTGAGCTGAGATCACGCCACTGTACTACAGCTTGGGCTACAGAGTGAGACCCTGTCTCAAAAAATAAAATAAAAACAATTTTCATAGATCAACAGCTGGGAAATTCTCATGAAGAATAGAGACGACAAATGTATCCATCTTTATATAAAGTTAGGAGCTAGACGGTGATCCCTGAAAACAGTGATTTTTTTTTAAAGTCTGATTTTCACTCTAGAATTTTATCTTGAAAAATAAAAATAGTGTAGATGAAGTATGGGTGGAAAACATTCTGCTGTTTCTTTTTTCATGGTGAGCTTTTTTTAAAATGATAGATTAATAACACCTACTATGGTGTAAGTGCTATGTACCATGCTCTGTACTAAGGAGGCATTTTATATTCTGTGTATATCATGTAGTTTACAACCCTGCAAGGTAGGTGGTATTTTTCCTACCTACTTTACATATAAGGAACTCAAAGATTGAGATTAGGTAATTTCATATTTGTGGCTATTGACCACCTGTCTATGAAGTGGCAAGGCCAGGATTCAAACCCTCTTCTGCCTGACTTAAAGTGTACATTCTTTACTGCTAGATTAGAAAGACCTAATGTGAGGTTAGAACTAAGTGGTAAAGTTTATGTGTACTTAAAAGCTCTTTATGTCTAAAATAAAGCTAACCTAATTAGAATTTAATATAGTTTTGTCTGAAATTAAGGATTACTTAGGCTTTTTTGTTTGTTTTATGTTGATAGTTGTCATTTGTTTTGCTCTTTTTTCATCATTTATAAAAATTTAAGCCAAAACGTACTGGATTTTGGTCTTTAGGAAGCCACTTTTGGGCTGGGCATGGTAGCTCACGCCTGTAATCCCAGCACTTTGGGAGGCCAAGGTGGGAGGATTGCTTGAGCCTAGAAGTTCAAGACTGTCCTGGGCAACATGGCGAAACCCCATCTCTACAAAAAATTTAAAAAACTAGCTGGGCATGGTGACACACCTCTGTAGACCCAGACCTGGGAGGCTGAGGTAGGAGGATCACTTGAGGCCGGGAAGTCGAGGTTGTAGTGAGCTGCGATCAGGCCCCTGTACTCCAACTTGGGTGACAGAGTGAGACCCTGTCTCAAAAAAAAAAAAAGTTTTTAACCTAGGTAAACTTAATACTTGTTTGGAAAAGATTGCAGGAGGATCCCTGGAGACCAGCCTTGGCAATACAGTGAGACATCATCTCAAAAAACAAAAACAAAAAGCAAATATTTTAAGCTATCCCATCGCCTAATTTTTAGTTTCAGTCCTATACATTTTTTTTTTTTTTGAGACAGGGTCTCACTCTGTTGCCCAGGCTGGAGTGCAGTGGCATGATCTCAGCCCACTGCAACCTCTGCCTTCCAGGTTCAATCGATTATCTTGCCTCAGCCTCCTGAGTAGCTGGGATTCCAGGCGCGTACCACCACACCTGGCTAATTTTTTAATTTATAGTAGAGACAGGTTTCCCCACTTCAGGCAGGCTGGTCTTGAACTCCTTACCTCAGGTGATCCGCCTGCCTCGACCTCCCAAAGTACTGGGATTACAGGCGTGAGCCAGCGCGCTGGGACTTAGTCCTATATTTTTCAAGGCCATTATAGAAGAGTTTGTTAAAAGGTTTACTTATCAGACCTGAGTGTGTGTGTGCATTTGTATGCAAGATACAGAATTACACATAACGGAAGCCACTATGCTGGGCCGTAAAATTGGTGGGTGTAGAGAACCTGCTTTCCATATGTATTCTTACAGGAAATGTTATCTTCTCTGATACAGAAAGAAAGATGGTTTTAAAAACTCTTTTTTTTTTTTTTTTTTTTTAAGACGGAGTCTTGCTCTTTCGCCAGGCTGGAGTGCAGTGGCATGATCTCGGCTCACTGCAACCTCTGCCTCCGTGGTTCAAGCGATTCTCCTGCCTGGCCTCCCGAGTAGCTGGGATTACAGGTGCGCACCACCATGCCCAGCTAATTTTTGTGTTTTTAGTAGAGATGGGGTTTCACCATGTTGGCTAGGCTGGTCACGAACTCCTGGTCTCAAGTGATCTGCCCGCCTTAGCCTCCCAAAGTGCTGGGATTATACAGGTGTGAGCCACTGTGCCTGCTTATCTTTTAATCTGGAAAGT
This sequence comes from Homo sapiens, assembly GCF_000001405.40. Lineage (NCBI taxonomy): Eukaryota > Metazoa > Chordata > Mammalia > Primates > Hominidae > Homo > Homo sapiens. The sequence continues at coordinate 67,784 of NW_014040926.1, read as the reverse complement.
AAGTCAAAACAAGGATAAATGTTTCATAAAATTTTTTCAAAAGATTGTAATTGGGCCAGGCATGGTGGCTCATGCCTGTAATCCCAGCACTTTGAGAGGCTGAGGCAGGCAGGTCACTTGAGGTCAGGAGTTTAAGACCAGCCTGGCCAACATGGTGAAACCCCATCTCTACCAAAAAACACAAAAGTTAGCCGAGTGTGGTGGAGTGCACCTGTAGCACCAGCTACTCAGGAGGCTGAGGTGGGAGAATCACTTGAATCTGGGAGGCAGAGGCTGCAGTGAGCTGAGATTATGCCATTGCCCTCCAGCCTGGATGACAGAGTGAGACCCTGTTTCAAAAAAAAAAAAAAAAAAGATTCTGGCTGTGGCAGATTGCTTAAGTGTATATAAATATATGTAGCCTTGAATAAAGAAGTGTGAGTACTCCACTAGCTGAACACTCAACATGTTATTCTCAGTATATAACTTATGTGATCTTGCCTACCAATAAACATTTGAGAAAAATGTTTAATTCTAATAAGATAACAGAACCCAAATTGAGTTCTGTTGAAACCTTTATCATGGCTTGCAATATTGTTGGAAATTCTTAATTCTAATCTTGTTTTTATTGATGTAACATGGGGTTTTTTGTCTTGAAAATGAGGATTGCAAGACCTATATGACAATTGCTAGTTTATTTCTTCATAGTGTGATACGATAATAGGAATTTCCAGAAATTCCCCTCCTGGCTTTTGTCCTTAAGAAGTATTATAAAAGTATTTAACTTTTCTTTTCAGAAAGTGCAGTAACATCTCGAGCAACCTGTTAATGCTTAGGAAGGGATATCATTAAATGGATTGATCTTAAACATCATCAATCAAATGTAGATAACTAGTTCAAAGTCAGCCATATATTGAAAATGTTAAGTCTAGTTTATACCTAACATTGATAATTGATATGATATTCATTCTAAATTTCATGGCCATTGGGTATTTGTTTCAGGAGTTAGGAATACAAAATTAGTAAGTTATGGTCATTGTCTTCAAATAATTTAGAGAAGATTGTAGGAGATAATAAAAGGTTTATAAATAGTAGTGATAATCATCAAACCAAATGTTCCAGAAACACCACTGGAAGTTTGAAAGGTGTCCTGTGCTCCTAATAAAATATTCAGATTGTAATTGCAATACATGAATAATGTATATAATTTAGATTAGGACAGCAGAAGAGTTTGTAAAATGTATATTCTGATTTTTTTTTAGCTGACTAAAAAAAATTAAGCTTAATGTTCACTGGATATGATCAAGTAACTTGATTTTTAAGAATTTTCACCTATCTAGTTCAAATTTTATTTAAAGAAAATATTAAAATGTAAAGGTGGAGTGATTGTGTGAATCTGAAGGAACAAAGGTGAAGGTAGGTTTCCTAATATTTTTCCATTGCTGAAAACTTAAAGCTTCATGTGAGAAATCCTTGGTCAGAACTGAAGTAATGATCACTTTTCTGAACCATTTCTCCCTCCCTGAAGAAAAACAGACATACAGATGTTGCTTGGTTAAAATGGAATAGATTTACCAAAAATAACAGTTTAATCCATTTCCTGTAACTCATAAGGTTCCCGATGAAATCAAGCTTTTCCATTCCTCACTATGACTTATGAAACTGGTTAATCTAGTGTCTGATATACATTTTTTATATTATAGAACATTAGTACATTTGACAGAAGTGACTGCTGAGGTGATTTCTTTAGAAAGAAAACATAGATGATAATAGCTCCTATTTAAAAACAAAACAAAAAACTCAGGACTACATGTCTCCTAAGAATACATAGTTTAGCCTAGTGGCTAAACCAGCCTTTTCAGCTCTTCATTCTCTATTTATTATTTTTCACCCATAAACATTTTCTTTTTTAAGGAGTTCTAAGACCAGCCAGGCGCAATGGCTCGTACCTGTAATCCCCACACTTTGTGAGGCCAATGCAGGCAGATTGCTTGAGCCCAGGAGTTCGAGACTAGCCTAGGCGACGTGGCGAAACCCCATCTCTACAAAAAATACAAAAATTAGCTGGGTGTGGTAGATCATGCCTATAGTCCCAGCTGAGGTGGGAGGATCACTTGAGCTGGGGAGGTTGAGGCTCCAGTGAGCCATAATGGTGCCACTTGCTGCTGCACTCCAGCCTGGATGACAGAACGAGACCCTATCTTTAACAAAAAGAGTTCTAAGACCCATAAACTGCCATCTGGAACTTCTAGCATGAGAGAACTGAGGTTAACACATTGAAATGGTTATAATTTCATTCAAAAGCAAACTAATACTGAGTATTTCCAGCATGCTGCCATTGTCTTAAATACCTTATGTTAACTTACTGAACTTCATACTAACCCTGTAAAGTAAGTATAAATGTGGATACTAGACACACATATTTTAGTCTAAGGCGTGCCAACTAGAAGTCGCCCATCTAGTATTGAACCCAGGTAGATCTGATACCAGAACTCATTTTTTGTTTGTTTTACGAGATGGGGTCTTACTTCGTCGCCCAGGCTGGAGTGCAGTGGCACGAATTCCTGGGCTCAAAGCGATCCTCCTGCCTCAGCCTCCCAAAGTGCTGGGATTATAGATTTGAGCCACTGCACCTGGCCCAGAACTCATATATAACACCACTGTGTACTGCCTTCTGGATTTTACTTGTTCTGTGCAGTCATGTTAGGTAAATGTCATTAGGCTTCTTTGAAAAACTGGGATACTACTCACTAGCTGGTTATGCTAATAGTTTCTCCAGCCCGGGACTATAGGTGGGGCCAACAACTGGTATTCCAGAAAAAAGAACAAAAATTATTTTCTGTTGTGATATTAAGATTAATGATAGCCTCTCAATAGCTCAGAAACTTCCGTTTTGTAAATTGTGTGCTGTCAGTAAGCCTTCACTAATTGAACAATGCCCTTTTTGAGACTTTACTAATTTCTCAAACTGCTTTTTTCGTGCTTGTGACTTTTGTCACACATTTACTAAACATTTTGTGATTCAACACTTTCGCCAGTTTCCAATTATCTCCTAGTTAGAGTGTTTCAGAATTTGTTTCAAATTGTTTTTAATAAGATTGAGCCAGGCTGTGGTATTTTATCTGCAACTTACTACAATTTTACGTGTAATTCAATTTTATCCTTAACTTCTTCTCTCCAGATTGGAGTTCTTATTCTTTGAAGTCAAAAGCCACTTTATTTCTGTGAATACTTCCTTTTCACTGTTTTGTACCTTCCCTGGCTTTCTATTACGTCTTTGAAGTGGCTACTGGAAGGTAATGAAGTATGCTGGATGCATATGTATTAACCATGGTTTTGTGTCGTGTTAATCATCCTTAAAAAAAAAAATCCTTCCAAATTATCCCCAGTTGTTATCTTTCTGTTTGTGTGTGTGTGTGTTTTAGAAGTGAGGCATTAGGCTGGGTGCGGTGGCTCATGCCTATAATCCCAGCATTTTTGGAGGCTGAAGTGGGTGGATTACCTGAGGTCAGGAGTTCAAGACCAGCCTGGCCAACATGGTGAAACCCCGTCTCTACTAAAAATACAAAAAAATAGCTGGGCGTGGTGGCAGACACCTGTAATCCCAGCTACTCGGGAGGCTGAGGCAGGAGAATTGCTTGAGCCTGGGAGGTGGAGGTTGCAGTGAGCCGAGATCACACCATTGCACTCCAACCTGGGCGACAGAGCAAGACTCCATCTCCAAAAAAAAAAAAAAAGAAATGGGGCATTATTCCCATTTCACTTCATGATTTGCCTAGGCATGCATCATAGAAGAAAGATAAAACAGGGCCAGATGCGGTGGCTCACGCCTATAATCCCAGCACTTTGGGAGGCCGAGGTGGGTGGATTATGAGGTCAGGAGTTCAAGACCAGCCTGGACAACATAGTGAAACTCCATCTCTACTAAAAATACAAAAAATTAGCCGGGCATGATGGTGCATGCCTCGAATCCCAGCTACTCGGGAGGCTGAGGCAAGAGAATCACTTGAACCTGGGAGGCAGAGGTTGCAGTGAGCCGAGATCATGCCACTGCACTCCAGCCTGGGCGACAGAGCAAGACTGTCCCAAAAAAAAAAAAAGAACCAGAATTTATTTCCTGGTAGTTTTTCACTAACTTTGATTCCTGGAGAAAGGCTGTAGTGGAATTCATAAGCAAAGCTAAATGGCATCCTGATCTCCTGTTAACTTTGAGAAAACCTATTGGCTTTTTTTTTTCTTTTCTTTTTTTTTTTTTGAGACAGAATCTTGCTCTGTCGCCAAGGCTGGAGTGCAGTGGCTTGATCTCAGCTCACTGCAGCGTCCGCCTCCTGGGTTCAAGCAGTTCTCCCACCTCAGCCTCCCGAGAAGCTGGGACTATAGGTGTGCACCACCACACACGGCTAATTTTTGCGTTTTTAATAGAGATGGAGTTTCACCATGTTGACCAGGCGGGTCTCAGAACTGCTGACTTCAAGTGATCCGCCCACCTTGGCCTCCCAAAGTGCTGGGATTCCAGGCATGAGCCACCTCATCCAGCCAAGAAAATTTGTTCTCTAATAGTAACAGGTCATATGTATATCTTGTTGATTGAATAAATAGCCAGCAATATCAGAACTGGGACTTACTTAATGACCTGGAAGGTATTAATGAAAGCCAGACTGGCTGTAGTTATATTTAGCACCAAGACCAACTTCAGAATTTCAAATGGGTATCTATCTGACTTACAAGGTGCCCTCAGTTGCTTTGGGGTTCTATCTAGCTGTGTTCTGCCTGGGATTAGTTACAGAATTTAGTTGCTGTTCAGTCAAAGCCAGTGGGTGATAGCAGCAGTAATCTTCAGGTCATTTCAGCTGCCTTTTTCCTCCCGGTTGTTATTCTTGATCCTTTATTTTTGACACAGTTGGATAAACTTCCAAACTGTTCTAGCTTTTGCTGGTTCTGTTTGATCCATAATTCCGTGTATTTTGTTGGCCCTATAACACCTCTTCCCATGTCTTTTTATCCCTCATTAGGGGCTTCATCCATTGGTTGGGGCTCTACTGGATTTTAATATACTCTCAAGTCATATCTCTAACCCCAGTCTTTCAGTCTACAATCTCGTATGTGCCTCCAGATCACATGAAACTTGATAATGTTAAAAGACAGTTACAAGCATTTGTTCACTTAGAAACATGTAGTGAATATCAGTGTTCCAGGCACTGGCACTGTGCAGTCACGGGTATACAGGGGGAACATTTGGCAAAGGAAAGAAAACCTTATAGGCTTAGCCATGAAAATTGTGAGTTTGAGAAACACCTTTTGATCCCACCAATTGAAATCTTAATAGTTCTTTTTGTTGAATTTTCTGTTAAGTCGTGGTGATTCTTCTCTATGATGTCTTTTTCTTAATATCTCTAGTCATTAATCCAATATCCTAAGGTGGTGTTTTTTAACCTTTCTTTTAGGATAATGACTTGGAACCAATGTAGAAAAAAATACCAGACCAGCCATAAGAAATAACAGCTATAGTTTAGTACTTGATTGGAGTTGTAATCAGTTGATTAGAAAACTTACATTAAAAAGATTCTAGGAATTCAGCAATATTTTGTAAGTGAATTATCTTTTATTAATTACAACAGCTTTTATATCAGATTCAGACTATTTTGAATGTTAGAAGGTCATTTTTATGTTAGATATTCTAGGTACTGAAAATACGACAGTGAGTAAGACAGGCTCTCTCCTATGGAGCTAATGTTCTGTTAAAGGAGACAAAATTAATTCATATTTAGTCTAATATATTCCAAAATCCAAGACTTAATAGGGTAGGAAGCACTGCTGTGGGCCTTAAAAGTTGGTTGCTAGATTATTATTCCTCTTCCTCGTCATCCTGCCCAATCCCTCATACTACCCTATTTGTCCTACGCAGTTGTCATAATCATCACACAGACACCCACATGCCTACTATGTCATGGTGTCAAGTTTAAATTCTTGAAGTTTGAGAACTTTCATATACTTCCTTGGCATCTTATGTTTCCTTTAAACCTTTTATTAATTTCCCAATCTGTCTGCAATTCTGCCTAAGACTTTTCTGTCATCCTTAGGAAGGTGATGCTGATTTTTTTCCCCATACTTTGGTCCACCTTTCTTTAACCCATTACTTTCTAGCAATTATTTTGGCAGTTATTTCATTTTCCTAAGACAAAGATTGGAATGTGTTGTCACTGATGAAATAATAGAAATATATGGTTGAGTCATGTACAAAATAACTTACAGGCCCCAACCAGTGGCCCTCTTCAGGGGGTATTTGGAATTATTTAAGTGACAGACAACAAATTTGGACTGAATCTTAATATCTAGATTCTGTGGGTAACAAAATCTGTAAATAGAAAATAATAAAATGGTTAGGATTAGTCCATATGAGAGTTTGCGTTCAGAGGTTTGGAGGGCAAAACTGACGATTTCCTGCTCTTGACTATTATAGAGCAGTCTCTTGCTTCACAGTTGTCAAAATCCCACTTCATGAACGATCACAGACCAAATGGCAGAAAACAACCCAGTTGTTTTCCCAGTTGTTTCTATTCCTAAAAATTGCATAGGTGGGTACATATCGTATTCTGTTGTGTTTTCTGAAAGCAAAGGTACTGTCATGTTATTGTGGTCTATGTGCATATCGCTGTAGTTATCCATGCTATAGGTAAAACTGTTGAAAAGAATTATTTAATTGTGGTGATAAACTGCCTTAGACGGAGTCTGTTAGACGTGCCTTCTTATGGTGTTTATGCCTTAGCTGTCTCTTCCTGAGGAAATGTATGAATAAGAAAGGCTTCTTGATATTTTGACCTTAGACTTGATATCTAATGCAACACCCTTCCTCCCCCATTTATAGGAATAGTACTCATTCATTGAGTACTATTATATGCCAGACACACGACGCTAGGTGGTTTGTATTATCTTTATATCCACAATAACCTTGATTTAGGTAGTAGTATCCCTGTTTTACTGTGAGAAAACTGAGGCCCAGAAAGGTTAAGTGATAATTGTATGGCTAGTTTGTGATAACTATAGATACTACAACTAAAAATTTACCTTTCTGGTTCTTTTTTTTCATTCTTACCTTTCTCTAGCAATACATATTTAGCTCTTTAGAGCTAGTTACAATATATTTTTTATGTTAGACTTACTGTGTGGGGAGTTTTGAATTTAAAAACTAAAAAAAAAAAACACCAGAAGGTTTATTCTAAAGGTTTAAATTTTTAAAATTTAATCTGCTGTTGTGTGCTTCTGTTACCCCTGACCTTAGTTAGCATTGCAGGATACTTTCTTTTCCATATTTTGTGATTGATATATGTGTGATTCTTTGTATGTACAAAAGCTTGAGCTTGAGTTTTTTAGAGGAAAGGAATAAAATAAATTAAGTTGGTTGAATTAAGTATGTCTTGGTGGATTTGGTTATCCCCACAGCAAACTTGAGCATTCAGTTTACCCATGATTAAGGGTGCTGATACTATATTTAAGGGCGTTCTGCCTTCCATCTCTTTTCTAATATCAATAGTATTAATTGATGCCAGGCAAGAGGAGTGCTGCCATATTTGGGTCAGCTACTTCGTCAAGAGTATTTTGCAGAATGTACCTGAAGCTATTCTGAAAGTTAAATATCATTAGATACATTGTCAAACCCTGAAGCTGAAATTCCAGCCATTCAGGGAGCCCCTCAGGGAGATCACTGCTTTTCCCTTGCAAAAATAAAAATAGTGTATAAAATACTATTTAAATATATACTCTTATCTAATTCTAATAGCTAGTATTTGTTAAGTGCTTAGTAAGTGCCAAGTGCTGTTCAAATTGCTTTTTAGGCTCACACCTGTATAATCCCAGCACTTTCTGAGGCCAAGGTGAGAGGACTGCCATCTTGAAATTTTTTTTTTAAAGTACTTTTTAGGTGTTCTTTAAAATAATAATTCCACTTTACAGATGAAGACACTGAGGTGCAGGGAGGTTTAATTCACCTTTTTTTTTTTTTTCAAGTTTACAGCAAGTATTTAGTCATTGAGCTATCATTCAAATCATAATAACTAGTCTTTACAAAATAGAGCCCCAAAGTGCTATAGATAAAAGGTTTTCATTTTGCTTTGCTTTTTAACTTTGGTGTTGTCTCTTTTCCTTTCTTTCTTCTCCCCTCATCTTCTCTCTACCCTATGGTCTGTTTTGGATTTTTCTCGTTATATATAAGCTTTAACTTTTGCTTTTCTTCTTTTTTTCTCCCCCTTTCTTTTTGAATGGTTTTAGCATCCTTGGGCGCAGAAAACTCTGGAAATGTATTCATAAGTTTAGAAATTATATAAGACACTTCAGAATGATAATACTTAATTATTTTAGAAATTTCCATTTTGAATTATATTGTTTAGGGGGAGGGCTATTAAAGTGTTCTCTGCCAATTTATGATACATTTTAGATTTCCCAGTTTTTTTCTGGATATCTGTCAGGAGATGGTGTAGAGGTTTGGTAAGTAATACAGTTTGATTTTGTATGTCTCAAGGGTTACTCATTCAGTCACATATTTGAGTTTATTTTATTCTGGCCTTTTTCCCCTCTGGGGATTCTATTTATAGTATTAATTGAAAATCTTTATGTTAATGCTAATTTTGATTTTTTTTTCCACTAGCATGTATTGGAGCACTCAGGCTTGAAGAAGGACATAGGTAAAAAGTATAAAATGGAACATTTTCTAACATTAGGGTTGTGAAAATTTTCTTATTGTTTAGTTGCATACTTGGCATGTTCAATCTGAAAAAAAATTGTTTATGAAACAATTTAAATGATATTGTTTAAGCCAAAACAGTTACTTATATTTCATTTCTCTTTTATTTTTATAAATAGAGCATCAATTCCCTTAATCACAAAGGTCAAGAAAGGTTATCTCATGTTACATTAGGACATACTTAGGACTTCGTAGTATTTCCCTTCTGTGTGAAATTTTATCCAGAAGACTTGAATTACTTAATCGTAAAGTGAATAGCAAACGTGAATCTAAAACATGGTTTCAGTTTTTCAGAATCAGGCCTGCTTTGTCCCTAAATGCTTTCTTATTTCCCCAGAGCCCTTATTGGATTTAAGCCCCATATCATATCTCACATACCTGAGACAGACATACCACAGTGAACCCTGCATGTCCTTGTAAGTTCTTTTCCGTGCCTAGAAGTTGCAGAAGACCAAGGAACCTTGGAAGTGACTTACTCTTTTGCTTCATAAAGTTGCTTTAAAACAGCCTTTATTTTAATTATTAACAAGGTATGTCACACATTTTTAAATTTTAAGGTTAATTTAGTCATTAATTCTGTCAAACAAGTGTTCTTTGGAAACTAGTTGTCTTCAATGTCTTTTACTTGGAGTTACTTGAAGTTTGCTTAAACTTTATTCACTTGGAGTAGAACTTCCTAGTTAAATGATTGAAAAGGACTAGTTCTGCAAAATCTATGAGAACAAGAGCTTCTGCAAATGCATAATATAAATTCTCTTCCTTTTTTTTTTAAACTGTATTTTTACAAACCTAGATCTCTTCCTGCTTTGATTTGTCTTTATCATATCTTTCAGAACAAACCTTTGATGGAATTCTAGGAAAGGTTGAGATTAAGAATATATTAAAAATATTCCACTTTGTACATTCTGTTTATATTATAGTAAACTAAGTTATTTAGCAAGATAAAATTAGGAATTTCACCCAAGGTATCAATCAGATGGAACCATTAGTCCACTGAAGAATTTACTTTTTAAAAAAGTTAGTGGAGGAAAGGAGAAGATGCTGCTTAAGAGTAATCAGAAATAAAGATGGTAAGCATCATATGGTAAATATATACAAGTTTCGTCAATTTTGTAAAAAAAAAATACAAAGATGGTAAGGCATCTTTGAAATTGTTGTCAGTAGGAAATTTCATCTGATATATATATATATAAATTTGTTTCATAAAGCAAGGAGAAATGGTGTAAATAATACAAGTGTGGCTATTGACATATGAAAATGTCCATTTATTTTGAAAGTGACTACCCCCACAGATTATATAACTGTAGAATCGAATACAAATTTTCTCACTTTTCTTCCTTGCTTTGGCATTTTTTTAAAAGTTACTTGAAAGTTCAGTTTAGATTGAAAAATAAGGGCCTGATTAATAGCGCTGTATCATGGTATTAGAGTACATATGTTAGTATTTTCATGAAAGAGGAAGAGGGTAATAACTGATTTACCTATGATTAAAAGATAGTGGTGACATTTTCCTTTGAAAGTTTGGGCTAGAAATTTATAACCTTTGGCCAATGAAACTACAGTAGCTTCAGTCACTGCTTCCATGCCACATCTCTACCTAAAGGGAAGATGGAATCCGCCTTCTCTTTTTTTTTTTTTTTTTTTTTTCTGAGACTGAATCTCACTCTGTCGCCCGGGCTAGAGTGCAGTGGCATAATCTTGGCTCACTGCAACTTCCACCTTTCAGGTTCAAGCAGTTCTCCTGCCTCAGCTTCCTGAGTAGCTGGGACTACAGGTGCCTGCCACCACACCTGGCTGATTTTTGTCTTTTTGGTAGAGATGGGGTTTCACTGCGTTGGTCACGCTGGTCTCGAACTTTTGACCTCAGGTCATCCACCCGTCTCAGCCTCCCAAAGTTCTGGGAGTACAGGCGTGAGCCACCATGCCCAGCCTGAATCCCCCTTCTCAAAAGTAACTTCCATTCACTTTGTCCCTGGCAGTCTGCTGGTGACCATGATTTCTAAGGCTCACTCATGGGACCAAAGGCAAGAAGAAAGGGAGGAGGGTGGTAACCAGATAAACTTTGCAACCCCTTTGATAGGACTTTTTGGGTGAGAATTTTTATGAAAAGTAATATATACTTCTACTATAGATCTGCCTCTAGTTTCAACCTCTAGTTTTAGCACTGATTTTTTCCCCTTAATTTCCAGAAGCATGATATAATATCTTTTTCAAAGAAAGTGGGAAGAATGTCCACAGATGTTAGGAGAAGACAATTATGTAGGAAAAATATTTTCTCAAATTAAAATTTAAAACAAAAGTTTGCAGGGAATGGAGTGGGGTTCAGCATTAGGGAGGTAGGAGATGATAAAAATACATATTAAGTAATTTGTACCCTGATATGCTTTGTATGTAGATTGCTTACAACTAACATGAAATGAGCATTTCATTCCTTAAGCATGCTGTTGGGGGAAAATGGGAGCCAGGCTGGATGCACAAATTTACACCAGATGCTCTGTATCCAGGTAGCAGAAATGACTAACAGCACTGGTATCCATCAGTCCCAGAGCAAAAGCGTCTCCAGAGGAGGACATCTGTAAATCCCAAATCTGATCTCCTTCATCATCATTAGGCAACAGATAGGATAAGACTTCATGAAGAGAATTTTGGTGGCTTTAGATTGTTGAGAAAGTATATATAGGAAAAAACTGGAAATTATGTCCAAGATTTTTTGTCTAACTCCTTATCCTGATATTGTTAACATTTCACAACTAAAATAATTTTAACAGACAATTAGTTTTTAAAAATGTATTTTCATGACCTGAGACTACAGAAATTGCCATTTTCTTAGGACGTAGTTTACATTTGACTCTGCTTACTGTGTCCAGGGCATCCCCAAATTGGGAGAGATTGCCAAGTCAGTTGCCATTTTGCCTTACTTTTACCAAGGACTAGCCTACAGGTTCAGTTTTGCTCTTGACTTTGGCCCTGAATTGAGAACTGAGTCAAGAGAACAGAGTGGAAGTATGGAGACAAAGCCAGCAGCTTTACTCAAAAAATATATATGAGTCTAGTATTTTTTTTGTTTTTGAAAGACATGTTACTGAGCCCAACCCAGTCAGGGATCACTGAATATTGGGTTAAATAAAACAATAATGTTATTCATGTGTTTGAAATTAATGTTTTAAAGAACCACGCACACACTTTAAAATGTAACTGGATTTGCTATATAGGCCAGAGAAATATGGCTGTTACGATGAAGGCGTAACTTCTCTGGTTCTTGATTATTTACACCATTAGAGAAGAATGCAAATATGAATAGCTCAGAGTAGTTTAACTTTGAAGTGAGAGTTTATATGCACCTTTATATGTGGGATAACTGATGTCTTTGGAATAGACTTCAAATGAATGATAAAAACACCTGTAAAGTGATAGGACCTCTACTTTTTCTCATGTCCAATGTTCAGTTTCTTATAAACCAGGCATGAAGAGAAACAAAAAGTAATTAATTCTCCAGATCATGAAGTTGTCTTCAACCTAAGCACAGAGGTATAATAATTACATTTCTCAGAAGTTCCCCCTCTGTTTTGAGTCTCAAGGGCAATTGAGATGTCAGTGAGGCTGTGATTAAATGTATTGGATATTAGAGGATTTTAAATACAAACAAGTATTATAGGTGTTACCACTGACCCCGAAGGTAAGATTTACTGTGAAAATTTATAATGCAAGGAAGAATGATCAAGTTGGCTGTCAGAACAACAAAATATTACAAACCAGGATGTCTAAGAGCAGAAGTCCGTGGTTGCCACCTCTCAAGCCTCTTAGCTTAATCCAATCTAGGATGCATTTCCACTCTGCAACAAACAGTATTTATTTTTGCCTTATTTGCAGATAACAGTTTTAATGCAGGTACTGCCCATGGATTAGCTTTGAGCAGTGTCTTTTTGCTTTGGTTTTTTTATTTGTTTGGTTTGTTTTGAGACTGAGTCTCAGTCCTCCAGGCTGGAGTGCAGTGGTGTGACTTTGGCTCACTGCAACCTCTGCCTCCCGGGTTCAAGCGAGTCTCCTGCCTCAGCCTCCCAAGTAGCTGAGTCTACAGGCGTGAGCCACCATCCCCGGCCAAGCAGTATCTTTTTGCTTTGAAAGTGACTTACATGTACATTTGTTTTCCTTGTGAATGTTTCTTTTTAACTGCAAACTAAGAAACATTGAGCCCAGCATTCATATATTTGCAAACTCTGTCTTACTTAATTTCTCAGTTTTTTTCCTCAGAAAAAATGAAATTCCTTTTCTTTTTTAAATTTATTTTTTCTTTATTTTTCTTTATAAAGTGAAGAGTAGGTAGCATGAATTCCTCTTGCCCTTTGCTATTTCAGTCTGGCATCAGTAGCAATTGTTGCTATGTCCAGTTTTCATTCATGGATTTTTCTGGGATTGAAGATGAGTTCAATGTTGATTATTTAATTGGGCAGTATAAGTAAATTCATTGGCTCTCCTTCCAGTTTAGTGAATACTAAATATCATCCATGATATTTTATACTTCTTACACTTCTGGAATCTAACCTGAAAATAGAAGTTGTAAGTCAGGGACGGTGGTATGTGCCTCTAGTCTCAGCTAGTTGGGAGGCTGAGGCTTGAGCCCAGGCCTTCAAGGCTGTAGTGCACAATGACTGTACTTGTGAATAGCCACTGCACTCCAGCCTGGGCAACATAGCAAGACTCCCACCCCTTAAGAAAAAAGAAGAGAGAAAAAAATAGAAGTTGTGGAGAGGGAGGAGGATGCTTGAATACTTTGACCGTACTTGGCATAATAGACATTTTGAGGGTTTTTTTGTTTTCTTAAAATTCCTCTGGATCAGTTTTCATTGTTTCTAGTAATTATATTTATCGTTAATGAATTCATATTCTGCTCTAGCCCCTAAAGATAGTTTGATATGCTAACTTTTGTTTTGCCTTTCTAGCTGCTAAGATAGATAATGGTTATTGCAAAATGCACGTTTTTAAATGGTCTCCAGTGTGGATTGCTTCTGAGCTGCTGATGGATTGAATACATTGAGAAGGAATGTGTCATTTGGAATCCAGGACCAGTCAGCAAGGATAACTGCCTGATTTTATGGTCAGAATGCTCTAACTCTTATGGCATACTGATGACTTTTTCTTCCATTTTCCAAAAAAGCAAGTTTTGTCAGTCTCAGTGTTTCTCTGATCTAGCTACTCACAATTCCATTCCCAAAGTAGTGACCTAGTTCTGTCACTTGGGTTTCAAAGGGAGTTGAAGTGTCACTGAGTGAGTACAGCAAACCTGTTTAATGATTTATAGGAAGCAAATAAAAAGAATTTTGTTTGCTAACCTAGAAGTATATCAGATTTTGGTTTCAATTTATAATTTTGCAAAATATAAAGACATTTCCTGGCTAACTCCATCCAGATGAATTATTCAGTATTTTTTCTCCTATCTTAATGAAGTTAATTTGAATGCTAATTTCCTATAACCAAGAAAACAGTTGAATTAAATAACCCTTATCTTTTAAACTTAAAGCTTATACTACTAATAATCATTTAACATTCACTTCCTTTTTTCTGACTTAATTGGTAGGTAAATAAAATACTTCAAATTTGATTGGCAAATTGGAAAATCACTTAGAACAATCTGCTAGTATTTTTTATTCCCTTTGTTTTTTCCTTTACACATTTGTACTGCAAAATAAATCAAGGACAAAGACTCACACTGAATTGATCAACTTGTGTTTGGTCTTCATGGGAATTACATCTTTTTTCCCCTCAACATTTATTAAAGGAACATACAGAATTTCAGACTATAGCAAACTAATACCTTTAGCTTGACTAAGAGTTGATTTTCGTTAAGGAACAGAACTTGTAATTTATTTCGACATACTTTAATGTATGACTCATCCCTGTTAAAGTTGTGAGACTCAAAACTACGCCCAAATCACTTAATTTTATGTCCTTCCCTGTTTACTGTGTCTGACCTTCAAGATTTCGTGACTGATGCTGAAATGGAAGCCAACCACTGCAGAAATTTGGGGGAAAATGAGATCTGAAGAATACAAGGGGAAGTAGGAATTCATTTCTAGCATTTCCAAACCTGCTTAATCGTGTCTGCTCCACCACAGTCAGAGGAAAAGACTGAGTTCATGGAAATTACCAGCTAAGCCTTACATCTGTCTTTAATGTTTTTAGGAAGTATACTGAAAAGGTAAGTGAGATGTCTGTTTTGAAGAAAGACTCTTACTGGGTACCTTAAAACCCGTTGTTTCCTATTAGTAAAGATGGGCAGCTTCTTTATTCCTAGCTTCAAAAAGCCTTGCCCCTGTTTGGTGTGTTTCTCAGTATTGTGGAGAAGGTAGTTTCTGAGCAAGGTGGTGCTTTTCCTCTGCTTCTCAGCAGCTAAGACAGAAATTGCACCGAAGTGTACAAAGGGCCAATTTTTGTTGTCCTGTTGTGCTCAAATCCTTTTTTTTAAAAAAGTTATTTCAATCAAGTCTTAGTTTTATTCCTCACTATATAGGAAAAAAATCTTTAATGCCTCAAAAGTTCCATTCAGCATTACATTTGCATTACTCTTATTTGCAGCAAATATGAGTAAAATTATAGGTTTTTAAAGGTCTCTAATAACATCCACTTATATTGGTTTTGTAGATAATCCATAAATTACCAGAAATAAATTATTCCACATTTATTACACACCCATGTAATAGATGTCGTGCCAGGCCCTGGAATATACTAATGGCATCACCTCATGTGGTAAAAAGACACATTCCGCCATCCTGGAGTATACAAAGGTAGACTAGCATATAGTTCATGTGCTCAAGGAGTTCATTTTTATTGACATGATACAGATAGAATTGTAGTTTAGGGAATCAAAATCTAATAAAATGAGGCTAATTCCATTTTCCCATTAACACTAATAACTAGTGTGTAAATCTGAATATGACACATTCTATATGAAAGAAGCTCTGTGTGCATCTACACTAAATACTCGTGTGTGCCAGGTACTGTTTTAAACTACGTATATTTTTTTAATTCTCATAACTGTTCTCTGAGGTATGTACTAATACTAAAGCTTATTGTTAAAGGAAGGCAGAAAAATTAAGTAACTTGGCCTAAGTTTGCATAACTGTGATCTGGGATCAATATTTGAACCCATACAGGCTGATTGCAGAGCCTGCACTCTTAATTTGAGTGTGATATTTATGTGCAGTACCTGGCTATAAGTACCCACAAAACGTTTCAAATTCTTTATAAAATTTGCTTAGTTAAAAAAGTACCAATTGCATAATATGGTTATAAGTCTGGTAGAAGTTAGGCTTTTTACAAGACATGCTGCTTACTGCACCAAGGAGGCAAGAAGGCTTTTTAGAGAGCCCAGAATTTCCTTTCCTCAACTCCTGCTTCCAAGACAGTCATTTTGCATGATAACCGTTTCCCCAAAAAACACAGACACAAAATTTAAAGAACTGGAACAGAGGAAGCAGAGCTTATCATAGTATATATGTTTAGTACCCTGTCACTTAGGTCCACCCCTCTTTCTTTGTGGATTGTGGACATTTTGTTTAACTGCTAAATCATGAGAATATATGACTGCTGAGACTTTTCCAAGGATTTTTTAAAAAACACATTAGGCTTTGTGCAGAAGTAAAGAAAAAGTGCTGTGAGAACCCCAGGTAGGTAATTTACTTTCTATTGTACTCATAGTTTGTTTGAAACCTCTTCACCTCTATCCCTTATTGTTTTATACTCTGTAAATCTGATTTTACCTTTAATAAACTTTTCTGAAGTGAGTGAGTTTTTTTTGTCTTATTTCCCATTAGATTCTCTACCTTCTTTGTTCACTTTACGTATGTTATTGCCACTCCCTTCAAAACTGGTGGTTTAATTAAAGTGACAGCATCTTCTATATACCCAGTACTGTTGAGGATTAAAAAATACATGTGTGCCGGATGTGGTGGCACACACCTATAATCCTAGCACTTTGGGAGGCCTCAGGCAGGAGGATTGCTTGAGCTAAGGAGTTCGAGACCAGCCTGGTCAACGTGGCAAAACCCCATCTCTACTAAAAAGACAGAAAGTTAACTGGGCCTGATGTTGTGCACCTCTCACCCCAGCTACTTGGGAGGCTGAGAGGTGGGAGGGTCACTTGATCCTGGGAGGTCAACGCTGCAGTGAGCTGAGAACAAGCCACTGCACTCCAGCCTGGGCGACAAAGCGAGACCCTGTCTCAATAGAAAAAAGAAAAAGTGCCAAGGCTTTGCTCCTAGTTCGGTGCAGGTTCCAACCAGTACTAAAACTTTGCAAATTTTTGAGGGAAAAACCAGAAGTTGTAGAATCAATATGAGCATTTAATTGTATAGCAAGCAATTGTGGCAGAAAAAATTCACCCTAGTGAAATCAAGTTAACTATTCTGTGAATGAGATTAACCAGAGGAACAATTTTGACCATGTATCTTTTAAATCACTGTTTCTCAAACTTCAGTGTGTATGGGAATCACCAGGGATCTTGTTAAAATGCAGATTTTGATTTAGTAGGTCTGGGGTCAACCTGGAGAATTTGAATTTATTTTCTCTTTTTTTAAAAGTAGTTTGAAATATATTTCACATACCATAAAATTCACTCTTTAAAACTGTCCAATTAACTGTTTTTTAGCATGTAGAGTTGTTCCACTATCACCATTCTAATTTCAGGACATTTTCACCGTGCTGAAAAAGAAACCTTGTACCTATCACTCCCCATCCCCCTCTCCCTTCCACCCTTTTCCCCTCCACCAGCATCTGGCAACTGTTAATCCACTTTCTGCCTTAATTTATATCTTCTGGACATTTCATAACGTTTTATAGACTTCTGTACCTGGCGTCTTTCACTTAGTGTTCAAGGTTCATCGATGTTGTAGCATGTATCAGTACTTCATTCCTTTTTGTGGCTGAATAATACTCCATTGTATGGCTATAGCACGTTTTCTGTGTCCCTGCATCAGTTTCCATTTTTTGGCTATTATGAATAATACAGCTATGAACATTTATGTACAAGATTTTGTGTGAAAGTATGTTTTCATTTCTGTTGGGAATATACCTAGGAGTGGAATTATTGGGTCATATGGTAACTAACATTTTAAAGAACCGGGAAACTATTTTCTAAGGTGGCTGGACCATTTGAGAGTGCATTCCTGACAAGCATCCAGGTGATACTGAATAGCAGGCTCTAGATTACATTTTGACATCTATCAAGAAAACAGGAACATGAACTTTAACTGAGTTCAGCTGCCAAAATCTGGCCAGCAGCAAAGAAGGTGGGGTGGTTTTGGTTTTCATAGGGCCTTGGTACCTCCGATTTTCTACCATTAGTCTTAATGTACCTGGGCTTATTGTTCTAGCCTTCGAACTCTTCATGTAAATTGATATATCTGCTATCTAAAAAAGAAAGAATATTCATTTTTAGTTGAAAGAGGCATTTCTAAGATGAGAATGGCCATACTGTCAGTGTGGTAACACTGTTTTTGATAGTGTCCTGAAAGCATGTTGATCCTTTCTAGGTGCCATCAGAGAAGGAAGGGTATGCTGGTGGAGCATGCACACAAATGATTTAATACATTGTAGTGCATGTTGGGATAGAGCAAAGGAGGGCAGATTCAAGGAAGACTTCCAGGAGACGAGTCCTGAACTCAATCTCTTAATTCATTCAACTAAGATTTAATGTAGGAGATCTAGATTCTGTGGGGGTTCAGATGAGGTAGGGATTACTTCTGTTTTATATGAGGTAGGATGACAATGGGGGTAGGTGGTAGTAGAAATTAGAATATTTCTTTGGGATGATACTTGAAGTAAGCCAGGATTTTAGATACAGAGGTATATGAGAAGGGTGTGTTCTAAGATGATAAAGCAGAAGGAACTAAAATACAGAAGTCAAATGGCACGACGTATACCAGCTGTATTTACTGAAATATGCCTAGAGGTGCTGTGTTAAGCCTCAGGTACACAAAAACATAAAACATGACCCTGCCTTCATAATTAGAACTCAAGTGAGATGTTTGAAGTGTAATACAATGTGATTTGTATGAAAAATCACATTGTGTGTGTGGTAGGAGGTATAGATTAGTTTTTAAGAAGGCGTAATTTTCTTGACTGGTGGTTGGTTCTGTTTGGTTTGACTCATGGGTGCCTGAAATAAAAGGAGTAGGAAATACAGATGTAAAGGTAAGTTGGGCTGTTATTTACTGTTGTTTACTTTGGCAGAAATGGTCTAAAAAACTAAGCATGTGACGAGTAATGAGAGGGGAGCAGCAGGAGTCTGAGTTTGGGTTCCTTTTCTTCCATTAGTTCCTGTGTGACTCTCCCTTGTGATCATTGATCTTTACTGGAGGTACAGAGTACCTGGTCTGGTCCTCAGTTTTAAGAAAATGAATTACCTAGTATACTCCAAGGCCCAACTTCTGTACCCCATAGTTGGAAATTGTCAGCTTTCCTACAAAGATTGATTTATGAGCTGCTCTTTAAAGCAACTTCTTATAACATTTTCAACCTTTTGACTGTTCACAATTAAGAGTCCTTCAATCTTTTCCCATCCCAATAGATGAAATGGCAAGACAAAATTTCCATGAGTTATATTGGACAGGTTTCTATGCATTACCTGTTGTTGCATAACAAATTACCCCCCTAAAACTTAGCAGCTTAAAACAAACATTTATTATCCTCTACAATTACTCTGGGTGAAGAATCCAAGAGTCACTTAGCTGAGTGATTCTGACTCTTAAGAGGTTGCAGGCTGGGTGCGGTGGCTAACACCTGTAATCCCAGCACTTTGGGAGGCCAAGGTAGGAGAATCGCTTGAGCTCAGGAGTTCAAGACCAGCCTGGGCAACAATAGTGAGACCTCGTCTCTACAAAAAAATTTAAAAATTAGCCAGGCATGGTGGCACACACTTGTAGTCCCAGCTGCTCGGGAGGCTGAGGTGGGAGGACTGCTTGAGCCCAGCAGATCGACAGGTTGAGGCTTCAGTGAGCTGTGGTTGTGCCACTGCATTCCAGCCTGGGTGACAGAGGAAGACCATGTCTTTTTTTTTTTTTTTTTAAAAAGTAATCTGAAGGCTTGACTAGGGTTGCAGGATTTGCTTTCAAGGTGGCTCACGTGCATGACTACACCTCACTTCCTAGGCAAGTGGACTTCTGCATATACTGAATATTCTCATGTAGCTGGCTTCCCCCACAAAGTGAATAGGAAGACTCCATTTCCACAGTATCTCATTGACCACACAGGTCAACCCTCTTCAGTATGGGAGGAGACTACCCAGGGCTAGAATACCATGAAGTGAGAATCATCAGGGCCACCTTGGAGGCTGGCTGCCAAAACTTAGGATGAATTTGAGGCTACTTTCCTATTAAGTGTATAAAGCTGACCTTTGACATGCAAACTTAGTAATACCTATTTATGATTCCTGATACACTTTAATACTCTATAGTGATTTCTTCAGAAGCATTTTGACCTAAATGTAAATATATCATTCACTATGCATACATTTTTCTAAAAGGGAGTTTAATATCTACACCAGGATGAATTGTAGTATGTTTTAACATATGTAAGGTGCTCAGTACTTGCTCAACTAAAGCCAGGTGTGGTCATGCACACCAGTGGCACTTGGAAGCTGAGGCAGAAGGATTGCTTGAGCCTGGGAGCTTGAGGCTGTAGTGTGCAATGTTCATGCCTCTGAATAGCCATTGCCCTTCAGCCTGAGCAACATAGTGAGACTGTTTTTTTTTTTTTTTTGAGATGGAGTCTCGCTTTGTCGTCCAGGCTGGAGTGCAGTGGCGCGATCTTGGCTCACTGCAAGCTACACCTCCCGGGTTCATGCCGTTCTCCTGCCTCAGCCTCCCGAGTAGCTGGGACTGCAGGCGCCCGCTACAATGCCCAGCTAATTTTTTTGTATTTTTAGTAGAGACGGGGTTTCACTGTGTTAGCCAGGATGGTCTCGATCTCATGACCTTGTGATCCACCCGCCTTGGCCTCCCAAAGTACTGGGATTACAGGCGTGAGCCACCGCGCCCGGCCTTTTTTTTTTTGAGACGGAGTTTCGCCCTTGTTGCCCAGGCTGGAGTGCAATGGTGCAATCTCAGCTTGCTGCAACCCTGCAACCTCCGCCTCCCAGGTTCAAGTGATTCTCCTGCCTCAGCCTCCAGAGTAGTTGGAATTACAGGCACGTAATTTGGATTTGGAGGCAGGGTAAGAGTATGGCATCACTACCGGGTTTCTAGTTAGATTATCTGGTAGATAGTAACTATTCACTGATAAAGAATGCAGGAACAGGCCTAGGCCCAAGAGAGGTGACTAAGAAATTTGAGCACAATTAGATGTGTCTCGAGTTACTGGAAAGTTGGATTTGGAAATCTGTCCATGTACATGTATTCTGAAGCTCCAGTGAGAGGTCAAGGCAATAGATAAAACTCCAAGAAAGTTGGGAAACAGGAACAACAACAATAAATCCACAGGAGAGAAGATTCAAGGAGGGGAATGGTTAACAGTACCAAATACAGCAGAGTGTGAGAAAGGTGATTGAGATGTGTCCACAGTATTTTGCAATATGATGGTCCTTTGCCAGGCAATTTCAAAGGAACCATGGTAGGGGAAAGCAGAATGCTAATGAATTCAGTAAGTGGGAGGTGAGAAAGTGGAGTAGTGAGGGCTACTCTTAAGAAGCTTGTGGCTGGGCACGGTGGCTCATGCCTGTAATCCCAGCCCTTTAGGAAGCTGAGGTGGGAGGGTTGCTTGAGCTCAGGAATTTGAGGCCGCAGTGAGCAGTGATGGTGCCAGTGCACTCCAGCCTGGGCAACAGATCAAGACCCTGGCTCAAAATTTTTTAAAACTTGCTTAGAAAGGAAGGAGAGGAAATAAGGATAACCACAAGGGACTGGGTGGGGGGGCTTTAAAAAAAAAACCGGGAGGGCCAATGGAAATGTTGAAGATACGGGAGAGGGGATGATGGCTTGTACCAAGGCTCCAGAGAAGATGGGAATGAATGAGACGGAAGGCCCTGAAGAACCAGTTGACCTTGGAAAAGAAAACATCCTCTGAGACAGGAGACAAGAATATGTAAGTTTGCAAGGTGAGAAAGGGTGGTTTGAACATTTTTGAAACTTGTTTGTTTTAAATATTGAATTTTTTTTCAGGAATTAAGTTTCTTAAAAGTCCACTAGAAGAGGAATATACTGATTGTTGATATCTCAGGTGTCAGGAAGTCCCAAACATAGATTCATGTTTGAGACAAAATTCATTTGGAGGCAAAACCTGAACATGAGGCTACACGTAGTTTTTATTGACCATGCTTCCTGTAGAAATATCAGTATGTTTGACTATAGATGTTGCTCCAGACCCTGCAAGAAATAATGCAATAATTGTGTATTTGTATACAAAGTTAATTTATGCTACGTAGATGAATCTTAAGAACATAATGTTGACCAAAGAAGCCAGACAAAAATAACAGTATGATTCCACATGGGACACAAAGGAAAAGCTAGAAACTGATTTCCACGCGTCAGGCTAGTGGTGAACTCAAAGACGAGAGAGACGGGCGTGTGGTATGGAAGGTGGAAGAGACACAGGACGGCCAGAGTTTTTATTTTTAGTCAAATGGTGATTCCATGGATGTTTGCATTCTAATTATTCATGAATCTGTATGTTTCATGCACTTTTTTTCTGCAGGCCTCTGAGCAACATCATGCACTTTATTGGTGTTACGTATCGCAATAAAGGTGTGTGCGCGCGCGCGTGTGTGTGTGTGTTTTATGGGCTTTGGAGTCTGATCTATGTCGGAACTTTGTGATCTTGAGCAAAATAATTAACATCCTTGAGGTATTGTGAAGGTTATTGAAGCAAACTATCATAGTGCCTGATGGTCCTAGGAATAGCAATAGTAACGTATTTTCCAAGTACCAGGCATTGTGCAAAGATCTAATTCTTAGAACTTCCCTATGAGATTGATGCTATTATGTTTTCATTTTATAGATCAAGGCCCAGGGAGGTGGTTTCAAGCCTATTTATTTAATGGCTAACTCACTAGATTTACTTCTTTATAGAGTTTATAATAACTCATAGTGAATTCAACAATTTTAATAGCCTTGGCCAGTTTTGTTTTTTTTTTATTACCAGCTTTCATTTTGTCTTTAATCAGCTTTTTAAGGCATATTCTATTTGTTTCTGCCTTAACTCCCTGCTGTTACAGCTGCTGCTGTACCCTGGAGGGAGTTGAGGCAGAGCCCTCCCTGCTGAGGCAAGAAGAGAAGAGAGTCAAGCCAGACCTGAGCTGCTGATGCCACAGATGGGTGCTACTGAAGGACATGAGATATAAGAACACAGGCCAGAGGCAGTGGCTGACGCCTGTAATCCCAGCACTTTGAGAGGCTGAGGTAGGCAGATCACTTGAGACCAGGAGTTGAGGAACAGCCTGGTCAACATGGCAAAAACCCCATCTCTACTAAAAATACAACAATTAGCTGGGCATGGTGGTGCATGTCATAATCCCAGCAAATTTGGAGGCTGAGGCATAAGAATCACTCGAACCCAGGAGGTGGAGGTTGCAGTGAGCTGAGGCTGCGCCACTGCACTCCGATCTGGACAACAGAGCTCTGTCTCAAAAAAAAAAAAAAAAGCAACAACCTAGAAGGAGGGCAGCAGATGACATCTAAGAAAAGCAGACTCAAAGGGAGTGATTTCCCTAAATCACATAATTAGGAAACTGACAGGAAATATCAGAACCCAAGCCTTTGCATTTAAGTTACCACTCCTGTGGGTATTTCCTGTTTCAATTAGAAGATTGTGAGAAAATCTTTCAGACCCTAAGAAAGAAATCATTTAATATTGGGATTTCCCATATTAGACAAGATGACAACAATCATCTTAAGTATATGAAGGCACTGAATGGAAAACAGTTTGGTCTCTGAGTCTTTTGGATAATGAGCAAGTCTTTGTGAGAACTTATGTTCAAAACTAACACTAGGTGCATGGGGGGATATAAAGAAATAGAAGTATGGTGATCAGTTCTGGCTCCAGCTCCTATGCTTTCTAGTATATCAGGTTCCTTATAAATGTTGAACAACTAGAAATGGTGGGAAAAGGGACTAGCAGATAGTGTTCAGAAAAGGAGTAGGGTGGGATGGGAGGAAGTTAGTAGGGAAGACGTTATTTTTATTTCTATTTTTTTGAGGCGGAGTCTTGCTCTGTCGCCAGGCTGGAGTGCAGTGGCATGATCTCGGCTCACTGCAACCTCCGCCTCCCAGGTTTAAGCGATTCCCCTACCTCAGCTGGGATCCCGAGTAGCTGGGACTACAGGCGCGTGCCACCACGTCCGGCTACTTTTTTGCATTTTAGTAGAGACGGGGTTTCACCATGTTGGCCAGAATGGTCTCGAAATTCTGACCTTGTGATCTCCCCGCCTCGGCCTCCCAAAGTGCTGGGATTACAGGCATGAGCCACCGCGCCCGGCTGGAAAGACGTTATTAGACTGTTCCTAACTCTGACCACCAGGTGGCCCCATTTTCACAGGTTATAAGTCTTGGTTGCTTTCTAGAACAGTTAAAACCACTGGTGTGTACAGTGTATTTGTGAAACGCAGAGTAGCTCACAAAAAAATTTATCTTCAAATTTTAATCTTTGAGATAAAATGATCTTTGAAATTTGAAGATAAATTTTTTTTGTGAGCTACTCTGCGTTTCACAAATACACTGTACACACCAGTGGTTTTAACTCTTCTAATTTTTTGCAGAGATGGGTTTCCCTATATTGCTCAGGCTGGTCTCCAACTCCTGGGTTCAATTGATCCTCCTTCCTCAGCCTCCCAAAGACCTGGAATTATAGGTGGGAGCCACCATGACTGGCCTTAAATTTTTTTTGTTTTTACCCTGACCCTCACTTGTTTTGAACACTGTAAAAGAAGGAGCATCAAGCTTAAATTTTCTAACTATATATTCCACCAGCCCCGGGACTTGAGTGATAGGCTCTAGCATTCAAAAACTGCCAGCTTGAGATTCCATTTTTGGGATATTCAACTTCCTGGCTAAAATACACTTGTTTAATTCTACCCTGCCCTTTATAAGTGCTTATTTTACATAAATGTATGATAGGGTAACAGTAACCAATTCCAAAACAATAACTGACATTTAATTTGGTATTTTAAAAAAATTCCTTTGGGTTCCTTTTAACACCAAGATATATTTCAATAATTTCAACCTAATTCAATCGAAATCTTTGGGCCACTGCACTCCAGCCTGGTGACAGAGTGAGATCTCGTCTCTTAAAAAAAATTTACAGTGACTACTTATACCAACCACCTAGGTGCTACAATTAATATTTTACTGTAGTATGTGTCTATCCATCCCCCCATCAATCAATTCGTCATATTGTTACAGGAAAGGGGTCCTGATCCAGACCCCAAGAGAGGGTTCTTGGATCTCATGCAAGAAAGAATTCAGGGTGAGTCCGTAGAGTAAAATGAAAGCAAGTTTATTAAGAAAGTAAAAGAATAAAAGAATGGCTACTCCATAGACAGAGCAGCCCCGAGGGCTGCTGTTTGCTTATTTTTATTGTTATTTTTGATGATATGCTAAACAAGGGGTGGAATATTTATGTCTCCTCTTTTTAGACCATATAGAGTCCTGACGTTGCCACGGCATTTGTAAATTTTCATGGCGCTGGTGGGAATGTAGCAGTGAGGATGACTAGAGGTCACTCTCATGGCCATCTTGTTTTTGGTGGGTTTTGGCCGTCTTCTTTACTGCAACCTGTTTTATGAGCAAGGTCTTTATGACCTATATTTTGTGCTGACCTCCTGTCTCATCCCGCGACTTAAAACGCTTTCACCGTCCACTGGAAATGCAGTCCAGTAGGTCTCAGCCTTATTTTACCCAGCTCCTATTCAAGATGGAGTTGCTTTGGTTTATACCCCTCTGAAAATGTTCCTGTGATCCATCTCAAAATAAATGTGGTATGATGAGATATATTTGGTTTTGCTCAGGTTCTTGGCACAGAACTCCTAAAACCCTGAGAATTTCCTGGTAAGAGTGTATTTTGTTATTCGTAAGGACCCTCCTTATACACCTCAGTTTATGCTAATGAGGTGACTTACTGTAGGGACTCTAAATTTAGTCTCGGGATGGGACAGGTGAGGTTACTCATTCCTGTAATCCCAGCACTTTGGGATGCCAAAGCAGGAGGATTGATTGAGATGAGGAGCTCAAGATCAGCCTGGGCAACATAGTGAGACCCTGGCTCTACCAAAAAAAAAAAAAAAAAAAAATGATTAGAGGGTTGGAACTTTTAGCCCCAACCACAAACCTCCAGGAAGGGAAGAGGGAGCCAGAGATTAAGCTCTATAAAAACTTATCAATGAGATCTGATGAGCTTCTGGGTTGGTGAGCACAACCGGGTGCTGGGAGGTGGCACCGCTGGAGAAGACAGGGAGGCTCCGCCCCTCATATCCTACCCTGCCCTGTGCATCTCTTCTATTTGGCTGTTCTTGAGTTGTATCCTCTATAAAAACTAAAGTGTTGGCTGGGCGCCATGGCTCACACCTGTAATCCCAGCACTTTGGGAGGCTGAGGCAGGCAGATCACCTGATGTCAGGAGTTCAAGACCAGCCTGACCAACATGGGGAAACCCTGTCTTTACTAAAAATACTAAAATTATCCGGGCTTGGTGGCACACGCCTGTAGTCCCAGCTACTCGGGAGGCTGAGGCAGGAGAATTGCTTGAACCCAGGAGGCGGAGGTTGCAATTAGTTGAGATAGCACCACTGCACTCCAGCCTGGGTGACAAAATGAGACTCCATCTTAAAAAAAAAAAAAAAAGCTACTGAAGAGTTTCCCTGATTTCTGTGAGCTGTTCTAGCAAATTATTGAACCTATGAAGGGGGTTATGGAAACTCCCAATTTATAGCTGCTCCATCAGAAATATAGGAGGAGGCCAGGCCTTGCAACTGGGGGTAGTGCTGCAGGACTGAGCCCTTAACCTGTGGGGTCTGCGCCCACTCTGGGCAGTCAGTGTCAGAACTGAACTGAATCTCTGGACACTCAGTTAGAGTCCAGAGATTTGGGGAATTGATTATTAGTGTGGAAAAAAAAAAAACCCTTACATTTGGTGTCAGAAGCGTTGTGAATAGAGGAACAGTTTTCTTCTAGAGTAAGTTATAGACATCAGTACACAAGCCCCAAATCATTCAGCATGTGATCGGCCTCTAAATTTGTCTACCAACTAAACCTTTGTGTTTGCAACACCTTTGCTATGAAAACACTGTGTACTTTAGCAAAGTTTAGTCTACGTTTCTTTGACTCGATGGAGCTTAGGGTCTTAATTTCTTGCTTGGGCTCAATGCTTCCTGCAATGCGGAGACTTTCTTGGCAGACTTCCCTTGTTGGGGTCCATCCAGGATGATCAAGCATTAGTCACTCACGGGTGACTAAAGTAGGTTCCTTATCTTTGGCTGGACAAAGTCCTCAGCAACTGTCTCCACACTCCATGCCATGGCCTCTCCCACCTGCTGTGAGTGTTCTAGGAGAAGCTCTTGTTTCTTCCCACATGGACTGGGGAACAATGCCAGTTTCCAGAGCAGAGTGTTGCTATGGGAACCTAAACTTATTTGGAGTTGCAGAATGATAGCAAGAAATGCTCCATAATTGTCCCTGGAGAATAATAGGGTAAAATGTTTTATTTTCAGATGAGATAACTTCTGTGCTTTTGTCCTCTGGGGAGCTTCTGGAATACAGTGATGAGCTGCTGAGTGAGAAAGCTGGGGGCTGGGGGCAGGTGGTTTCTGGTGGCTAAGATAGACTCCAAGTTTTCCTGTTTCCTAGCTCTCCTGGTGTGTCCCTTACACAATTCATTTATTCTTTCTGAGCTGCTTTCTTCTTCCTGAAAATGGGGTGTCAGTCTAGAGCTGAAAGGGACCTTGGGGATTATCTGAAGTATGATTCTCTGAAACAGATGATACCTGCATATTTTGTTGGGGGAAAACCCTATAAATGAGAAACTGGCAGTGAGGGGGGAAAGTCTACTCACAACCCTGGACTTTCCTGTGTCTTTCATAGAACTCACACATTCACAGTTACTAACATCTTCATCCAGATTCAGTCCTCAGGAGGACCTATGATGAGTGCCATTATGGTATAGTCTGCAGAATTATTCACCTGTGGTCCAAAAAGTGTGACTCTTACGTTTGAGAAGATAATAATGCTTTTTTTTTTTTTTTTTTAAAAAAAGACTGAGTCTTGCTCTATTGCCCAGGCTGGAGTGCAGTGGTGTGCTCCTGGCTCACTGCAACCTCCGTCTCCCAGGTTCAAGCAATTCTCATGCCTCAGCCTCCTGAGTAGCTGGGACCACAGGCATGCACCACCACGACCAGCTAATTTTTGTATTTTTAGTAGAGACAGGGTTTCACCATGTTGGCCAGGCTGGTCTCAAACTCCTGACCTCAGGTGATCTGCCCACCTCGGCCTCCCAAAGTGCTGGATTACAGGCGTGAGCCACCGTACCCAGCCAATAATGCATTTTTTAAAAGATATTTTTGTTCCAATATTAATAAATAAAAATGTTTATGAACTTAAAAGAGAAGTAAGAGGTGAAATCAGAAAGGTAGTGAAATCAGGTCTGTAGGACCTTAAAACCTGCTGCGAGGATTTTTGAGACAAATGGGAAGGCAGTGGAGGATTTTGAGCTAAAATATTACTTTTTCACTTCACTGTAGCCACAGTGGCTTCCTTACTGCTCCTTGAAACTCTGGGCAACTTCTACCCCAGGGTCTCTGCACTGGCTGTTCCCTCTGCCTGGAGAGCCTTTAGGCAGAGTATCTGCACAGCTCACTCCCTCACCTCCAAGCCTATACTCAAAGGCCTTCTCCACAAGAAGGCCCTATTTGAGATTGCAGCCCAGCCCGACCTCCCTTGCCCTTGCACTTATCATCATCTGCTCTGCTGCTTCTCCAGCACTTATCATTTTTTATCCTACAGTATATAATTTACTTATTAATTACATTTATTGTTGTCTCTCTCTCTCTGCTAGATATAAACTCCACAAGTGCAGGGATCAACACCTAGAGTGTATCTGGTACATAGAAGTTTCCCACACACTTGCTAAAAGAATGACTTAAAGGAATAAGTTTTGGTTATATGGAAAATTAAATTTACTAACTTTTTCTCATCATGCATAAATGGTTATTGAAGATTTAGGATCTTGAAGAATTTCTTAATTATTTCAGAGAGCTACGGTTATGTTTCTTAGAGAGTGTTTACCAAACCAAGAAAGTAGACTCATAGTTTAGGAATATTTTTAGCACTGTGGGGTGAAATTAAAAGTTTCTGGTTGGCCGGGCACAGTGGCTCAAGCTTGTAATCCCAGCACTTTGGGAGGCTGAGGAGGGCGGATCACGAGGTCAGGAGATCCAGACCATCCTGGCTAACACGGTGAAACCCCGTCTCTACTAAAAATACAAAAAATTAGCCGGGCGTGGTGGCAGGTGCCTGTGGTCCCAGCTACTCGGGAGGCTGAGGCAGGAGAATGGCATGAACCCGGGAGGCAGAGCTTGCAGTGAGCAGAGATCGTGCCACTGCACTCCAGCCTGGGTGACAGAGCAAGACTCTGTCTAAAAAAAAAAAAAAGTTTCTGGTCAACCATTTTTGTTATAATTTATTTTTATATAATTTCAAACTTATGGAAAAGTTGCAAGAATGATACAAGGAACTTCCTATACCCTCTACCCAGATTCACCAATTGTCTACATTATTTATCATTTCCTCTGTGTGTGTGTGTGTGTGTGTGTGTGCATGTGCTTGTGTGTTCCTAAAACTTCTGAGTAAATTGGAAACATTGTGTACCTGTACCCATAAATATTTCAAGTGTGTCTTTTAAAAGTGAGGACGTTATCTTACAGTTGTCAATATCAGAAAATCGAACATTGATACAATAGAATTATCTAATCCATAGCCCCCCCACCTTTTTGTTTTTTGTTTTTTTTTGAGACAGTTTCACTCTTGTTGCCCAAGCTGGAGTGCAATGGCACAACCTCCCATAGCCCATTTTCTTTCCTGGTCTTGCTCTATTGCCCAGGCTGGAGTGCAGTGGGGTGATCATAGATCACTGCAGCCTCCACCTCTTGGGCTCAAACGATCCTCCCACCTCAGCCCCCCAAGTAGCTGGGACCTCAGGCACGCGCCTCCACGCCCAGCAAATTTTTAATTTTATGTAGAGATGCCATCTCACTTTGTTGCCCAGGCTGGTTTTGATCTCCTGGCCTCAAGCGATCTGCCCACCTTAGCCTCTGAAAGTGTTGGGATTACAGGTGTGAGCCACCACATCCAGCTCATTGCCCATTTTCAAATTTCATCCACTGTCCCAGTAATGTCATTTATAGCAATTTTTTCCCAATCTTGCATCGAAGTCAGGATCATACACTGCTCTTAGTCTCCTTTAATCTGAAATCATCTTTCAGCCTTTCTTTGTGTTTTTGTTTGTTTCTTTGTTTTGAGATGGAGTCTGGCTCTGTCCTCCAGGCTGGAGTGCAGAGGCCCCATCTCAGCTCACTGCAACCTCTGCCTCGAAGGTTCAAGCAATCCTGCCGCCTCAGTAGAGATGGGGTTTTGCTATGCTGCCCAGGCTGGTCTCGAACTCTTGGCCTCAAGTGATCTGTCCGACTCGGCCTTCCAAAGTGCTGGGATTCCAGGCGTGAGTCACCACACCCGGCCAATTAGTGAGGATATTCTTTGAGACTATGTTCCTCATTAAACTTGCACCTACTGGTTTTAACATCATTCCTTTTGTATTTATTAGCTGTCAATCTACTGTAAGGAAGAGCTTTCCCTTCTCCCCATTCACTTATGTCAGTATGGACTCATGGACTTGTATTTTATTCTGTGGTTTGTAATCCATTGCTATTGTTAATTATTTTGATGCCAATTGTCCTAGATTTCTGGTCATCCCTTTGCCTCAAAAACAAGTTTACATGAACCATATAGTCTCCAAGTTGGGTTTTCAAAGAGGTAATGGGTCCAAATTGAAAAGGTAGAATTTAGGTTACTGGAAGGTAGAAATAACTAGTAGGAAAATCACTTTGGGCAATTTTCAATAACAAAAACACCCTATATACTGAAATGTGTTAAAATAACAAGAAAAATAGCACAGCCACTCAGCAGTGAATTTCAGTGTAAGGAATGAGGATAGGCGTATCCTTATTAGAAAAAAGAAGGAAAAATGCTGCTTGAGCTGCTGAGTTGTTTCAGCCCTGGAGCTGAGGGCGGGGCAATGCATGAAGGTAGTGGGAGAAATGATGGCTAATCATAAAATCAAAATGTCAGCCTAAGATACCATTTTAAAATATTTCATTCCAGGCTGGGCGCGGTGGCTCAAGCCTGTAATCCCAGCACTTTGGGAGGCTGAAGCAGGAGGGTTGCTTGAGTCCAGGAGTTTGAGACCACCCGGCAACACAGCAAAACTTCGTCTCTACAAAAATTTTTTGAAAATTAGATGGATGTAATGGTATGTGCCTGTAGTCCTAGCTACTCGGGAGGCTGAGGCAGGAGGATTGCCTGAGCCCAGTTCGAGGTTATAGTGAGCTATGATTACGCCACTGCACTCCAGCCTGGATGACAGAATCAACACTCTGTGTCTAAAAAATGAATATGTAAGTAAAAATAAAAATATCTCATTCTCATAGGCCCATCTCCTCCTCCTCTTCCAGAAACTCTTACTGGGTCTTTGCTGAATGGCAGTATAGTTATTTGCATAGGTTTGTTATAAATGTCCTTTTCACCAGACTATAATTGGAAAAATTGGCTTTGCAACCAAGGCCTTGCCTTGTCATATTTGAAAATGTTGCTTATTTAATCAAGTATGACCAGTCTTTCTGAGGAAACACATTTGGCTTTCATGGAGCCAGCACTTTCAAAGCCCTCTCAGAAAAATGGTCCTGGGGCACAGCTTACAGATGAGTAAGGAAGGCCACTTCTTGGCAGGCGCCCAAATCTTAGATATTTGCTCAAGTAAACAGGAATTCAGCAAAACGTAAAGTCCAGTCTGAGATTCCTTCTGAAAATTTCCAGCAATTTTTTTTTTTTTTTTAAGACAGAGTCTTGCTCTGTTGCCCAGGCCGGAGTGCAGTGGTGTGATCTCAACTTGCTGCAACCTCCGCCTCCTGGGTTCAAGCTCTTCTCCTGCCTCAGCCTCCCGAGTAGCTGAGATTACAGGCATGAGCCACCACACCCGGCTAATTTTTGTATTTTTAGTAGAGATGGGGTTTCACCATATTGGCCAGGCTGGTCTCAAACTCCTGACCTCGTGATACACCTGCCTCGGCCTTCCAAAGTGTTGGGATTACAGGCTTGAGCCACAGCGTCTGGCCACCATCTTTTTTTTTTTTTTTTTTTGAGATGGGGTCTGACTGTGTCGCCCATGCTGGAGTGTGGTGGTGCGATCTCGGCTCACTGCAACCTCCGCCTCCCAGGTCCAAGAAATTCTCCTGCCTCAGCCTCCCAAGTAGCTGGGATTACAGGCACCTGCCACCACGCCTGGCTAATTTTTGTATTTATATAGAGACAGGGTTTTGCCACGTTGGCCAGGTTGGTCTTCTGACGTCAGGTGATTCACCTGCCTCAGCCTCCGAAAATGCTGGGATTACAGGCGTGAGCCACCGTGCCTGGCCCATTTCCAGCAAATTTTTAAGGTCTGTGTGATAAATTAATGTTCTTGTTGCACCTATGTATATAATCAGGTCAGACCTAATAAGACCAGCCTTATTTTGTGATCAGAAACATCATTTTTCAAGATTTTTTTTATCACAAGGGGTGTATTAATTTCCTATTGCTGCTGTCATAAATTATCACAAACTCAGTGACTTAACACAAATTTATTATCCTATAGTTCTGGAGATCAGATGTCCAAAATAGCAAGGAATTAATAACCAGAATATATTAAGAAGCTCAGACAACTCAATAGGAAAAAAATCTAATAATCCAATTTAAAAATGGACAAAAGATCTGAGTAGACATTTCTGAAAAGAAGTTGTACAAATGGCCAACAGATACACGAAAAGGTGCTCAACATCACTGACCATCAGAGAAATGCAAATCAAAACTACTAGGAGATATCATCTCACCCCAGTTAAAATGGCTTTTATCCAAAAGACAGGGAATAACTTGTGCTGGTGAGGATGTGGAGAAAGGGAAACCTCACGCACTCTTGGTGGAAATATAAATTAGTACGACCACTATGAAGAACAGTTTGGAGGTTCTTCAAAAAACTAAAAATACAGCTACCATATGATCCAGCAGTCTCACTGCTAGGTATATGCCCAAAAGAAAGGAAATCAAGACTGGGCGCAGTGGCTCATGCCTGTAATCCCAGCACTTTGGGAGGCTGAGAGGGGCGGATCACGAGGTCCGGAGAGCGAGACCATCCTGGCTAACACGGTGAAACCCCGTCTCTACTAAAAATACAAAAAATTAGCCAGGCGTGGTGGCATACGCCTGTAGTCCCAGCTACTTGGGAGGCTGAGGCAGGAGAATCAGTTGAACCTGGGAGGCGGAGGTTGCAGTGAGCTGAGATCGAGCCACTGCACTCCAGCCTGGAGACACAGCGCGACTCTGTCTCAAAAAAAAAAAAGAAAAAGAAAAAGAAAAGAAAAGAAAGGAAATCAATATATCAAAGAGGTAGCTATACTTCCATGTTAGCACTATCCACAGTAGCCAAGATTTAGAAGCAACCTAAGTGTCCATCAACAGATGAATGGATAAATAAAGTATGGTACATACACACAATGAAGTACTATTTGTCCATAAAAAGAATGAGATCCTGTCATTTACAACAACAGGGATGGAACTGGAGGTCATTATGTTAAGTGATAGAAGCCAGGCACAGAAAAACAAACTTCACATGTTATTATTTATTTCTGGGAGCTAAAAAAAATTAATTGAACTCCCAGAGGCTGGGAAGGGTAATGGGGAGGATGATAAATGGGGATGGTAAATGGGTATAAAAATGTAGTTAGAATGAATAAGATCTAGTATTTGACAACACAACAGGGTGACTACAGCCAACAATAATTTATTGTACATTTAAAAATAACTGAAAGATTTAAATTCAGGTGGATATAACAAGAAAGAAAGAAAAAATAATAATTGAAAGATAATAATTGGATTGTTTGTAATACAAAGAAAGGACAAATGCTTGAGATATTGGATACCCCATTTACCCTGGTGTTATTATTATTATTATTGAGGCGGAATTTTGCTCTTCTTGCCCAGACTGGGGTGCAATGGGCCGATCTCGGCTCACTGCAACCTCTGCCTCCCGGGTTCAAGTGATTCTCCTGCCTCAGCCTCCCAAGTAGCTGGGACTACAGGCGCACACCACCACACCCGGCTAATTTTTGTATTTTTAGTAGAGTTGGGGTGTCACCATGTTTGTCAGGCTGGTCTTGAACTCCTGATCTCAGATGATTCACCCACCGCAGCTTCCCAAAGTGCTGAGATTACAGGTGTGAACCACCATGCCTGGCCCACCCTGATGTCATTATTATGCTCCATATGTCTGTATTGAAATATTTCATGTACACTGTAAATATATATACCTACTAGGTACCCACAAAAAATTTTTTAAGTTCAAAAAAAAAAAAGGGGGGGCCGGGCATGGTGGCTTACACCTGTAATCCCAGCACTTTGGGAGGTCGAGGCTGGTGGATCACAAGGTCAGGAGTTCAAGACCAGCCTGGCCAAGATAATGAAACCCCATCTCTACTAAAAATACAAAAAATTAGCCGGGCGTGGTGACACGTGCCTGTAATCCCACCTGTTGGGGAGGCTGAGGAGAGAATTGCTTAAACCTGGGAGGCGGAGGTTGCAGTGAATCCAGATTGTGCCACTGCACTGCAGCCTGGGTGACAGAGTGAGGCTCTGTCTCAAAAAAATAATAAATAAAAAATTAAAAAGCCCAAAATGGCTCTCCCTGGGCTAAAATCAAGGTGTCAGAAGGATTTTCCTTCCAGAGGCTCCAGGGGAGAGGCCATTTCCTTGTCGTTTCCAGCTTCTAGAGGTGTCCTGCATTCCTTGGCTCATGGTCCCCTTCCAACTTCCAAGCCAGCAATAGATAGTCAAGTCTTTCTCATGATTCTATCCATCTCTCTGTTCTGACTGCTAAGCCTCCCTCTTTCCCATTTAAGCACCCTTTGGATTACATTTGGCTCATTCCACCCAGGGTAACACCTCATCTCAAGGTCATCTGGTGAACAACTTGAATTATCTCCTGCCATGTAACGTACTAGGTTGGTGCAAAAGTAATTTCGGTTTTTGCCCCTCCCCCTTTATTTTTAATTGCAGAAATTGCAATTACTTTTGCACCAACCTAATAACATATTCACAGATTCCAGGGTTAAGATACAGGCATCTTTGGCCAGGTGCGGTGGCTCACGGCTGTAATCCCAGCACTTTGGGAGGCCAAGGCGGGCGGATCACTTCAGGTCAGGAGTTTCCGACCAGCCTGGCCAACATGGTGAAACAAAAATTAGCCAGGCTTGGTGGCGTGTGCCTGTAATCCCAGCTACTCCAGAGGCTAAGGAGGAGAATCACTTGAACCCAGGAGGCGGAGGTTGCAGTGAGCCAAGATTGCGCCACTGCACTCCAGCCTGGGCGACAAAGCGAGACTTTGCTTAAAAAAAAAAAAAAGATATAGGCATCTTTAGGGAATCATTATTCTGCCTACCATAGAGTCTAGGGAAAATTTGTGCTTTAAGGGAAAATTGCATTGTCTAGAGCAGTAGTTGGCAAACTGCTTCCTATGGGGTAAATCCAGCAGCCACGTGTTTTTGTATTCATCCTATGAATGGATTTTACATTTTTAAATGCTTAAGAAAATTAGAACAACAATATTGTGTGATGTAAAAATTGTATAAAATTCAGGCTGGGCGCGGTGGCTCACGCCTGTAATCCCAGCACTTTGGGAGGCTGAGGCAGGCAGATCACGAGGTCAGGAGATCGAGACCATCCTGGCTAACATGGTGAAACCCCATCTCTACTAAAAATACAAAAAAAGAAATTAGCTGGGCGTGGTGGCGGGCGCGTGTAGTCCGAGCTACTTGGGAGGCTGAGGCAGGAGAATGGCGTGTACCCAGGAGGCAGAGCTTGCAGTGAGCCAAGATGGCACCACTGCACTCCAGCCTGGGCGACAGAGTGAGACTCTGTCTCAAAAAAAAAAAAAAAAAGGTATAAAATTCAAATTTCAGTGTCGACAAATAAAGTTTTATTGGAATACAGCCATGCTCATGTGTTTATGTATTATCTGTGGTTGTTTTATAGTACAAGGACAGAATTAAATAGTTCAAACAAAAATTATATGGTCCACAAAATATCTACTATCTGGCCCTTTACAGTAAAAGTTTGCTGATCCCTGGTCTAGCACACACCCTTCCAGGTTATCTGATTCTAGCCTCTCATTGCTTTTGAGCTATTTCACAACTCTATAAATTGTAAAAAACCTCATAGCAAGGTAAAATAATTCCTGTCTATTGACGTGCAAATTCTGTCTAGCAGAGGTTACATTAACTTCTCTCCCTGACTGCGGAAGAAGCCAATTTTGCTTCCATTTGCACATTTATGTGAATATTTTTGATCAAAAAATGTGTCTGTTCTTTGAATTCTCCTGTGAACTGGTTGTAACAGCTTACTGGCTCCCTCATTAATAATGAATTAGGGGTTGGGCTCGGTGGCTCAAGCCTGTAATTCCAGCACTTTGGGAGGCCAAGGTGGGCGGATCAGCCTGGCCAACATGGGGAAACCCTGTCTCTACTAAAAATACAAAAAATTAGCCAGGCATGGTGGCGCATGCCTGTAATCCCAGCTACTCGGGAGGCTGAGGCATGAGAATCGCTTGAACCCAGGAGGCAGAGGTTGCAGTGAGCTGAGACTGGGCCACTGTACTCCAGCCTGGGCAACAAGAGCAAAACTCCATCTCAAAAAAATAAATAAATAATTTAAAAAAAGAATAAATAAAATCTTTAACATGTGTTTTTTTAATATCCCAATGAGAATCGTGATTTTACTCTTTTTTGAAAATGATCCTTTAATGTAGGCTATCCAATGAGGAAAGACAGTTGAGACCCAGTCTCGGCCCCTTTGGAGCCAGGCAGTCTGGCATCTCCTTTGGCTCTGAAATTGCCAAAGCTCCCAGGGATACCACAGAAATCATTCTGCTATGGCCTGTTATGGTGGCCAACACCAGGACCCAAGGACCTGCACGAGGAGTCGCACAGAAGAGCGCTTCCCATTGGAACCTGCCCAGAGGTGAGTGGCAATAGTCTGAGACTTGAGTGCACAAAATATGAGGCAATTTTTTTAAATTTAAAATTAATTTTAAAACTTTTTTTAAAGATGAGGCAGGTCAGGCACAGTGGCTCACACCTGTAATCCCAGCACTTTGGGAGGCCAAGGCAGGTGGATTGCTTGAGGCCAGGAGTTCAAGACGAGTCTGGGCAACATAAGGAGACCCCATCGCTACCAAAAAAAAAAAAAAAAGAATTAGCCTGGCATGGTGATGCACGTCTGCATTCCCAGCTACTTGCGAGGCTAAGGAAGGAGGATCCCTTGAACCCAGGAGTTCGAGGATACAATGAACTGTGATTGCAACACTAGACCCCAGGCTGGACCACAGAGTGAGACCCCTATCGCTTACAAAAAAAAAAAAAAAAAGATGAGGCAAAGTACATGGGCTTGGAATCAAACAGCCCAGTTCCTGCCTTAGTTTTGCCATAATGTCATCTTGGACAAGTGATGTATCTTCTCTGTGGGCATAATCCAAATTACAGAGTTGTTTTGAGGACTACATAGAGGAGAGTTGGTACAAGGCCTCTCAGTAAGCCTTCAATAAATATTCGCTGTTATTATTACCAGGGGGTAGCAACTAGCCAGGGTTGATGGAGCCCATGAATGCTATTCAAATTATGTAATCATTGCGAACATTTCCTGAGTCCTCACTATGGGCAGGTCCTCATTTAGTCCTCACAGTATCCCCAGGAAGCAGGCACTAATAGAACATAGTTTATTTTATTAGGCCAGGCGCAGTGGCTAACACCTGTAATCCCAGCACTTTGGAAGGCCGAGGCAAGCAGATTGCTTGAGTCCAGGAGTTCAAGACCAGCCATGGGCAACATGGTGAAACCTCATCTCCACCAAAAATTCAAAAACTAACAGGCATGGTGGTGCACGCCTGTAGTCCCAGCTACTGGGACTGAGGCTGAGGTGGGAGGATCACCTGAGCCTGGGAGGCAGAGGCTGCAGTAAGCCGAGATTGTGCCACTGCACTCCAGCCTGGGCGGCAGAGTGAGACCCTGTCTCAAAAACAACAAGAACAAAAAAGCAAAAAACCCATAGTTTATTGATGAAGTATTGCCATGGGGAAAAGGGAATTGACTTAACCATGGCCCCAAAAGTCCAAACTTACCCCAGCTGGTGGAAGTTGCCAGAAGATCAGTTTGGTTCAAGGGAAGGCGTTTTAATATCTGAAGCTGATGCACAATGGCGAGGAGTGATGTGAGTCAGTGAATTCTCTGTGACACACGGTGTTCAAGCACAGACTATACACATTTTGGGTAATACTGAAGACGAACTGTGTTATATAGGAGTTGGGACTAGATGATCTCCAGATTCCTTTCCATTCAGATTCTGGATCACTTTTGCTGGAAAGGGGATCAAAAATGGGAGCTTTGTCACTGATCCCCTAAATCCTTACACTGTCCTATAACCTCAATCATTCTTTGCCACTCAGAAGCCCTTCTAATCTCTGTGGTCTCTAAAAAGCACCCCGGCTTTATGTTCCTCTGTTTGTTCTGTCTTATAGTAGGTACAAATTGGAGGATGGGCATCCCCTTTCACACGTTCCCCAGGCCCCATGCTCACTCTTTTCCAAAATAGATCCCATTCATTCCCCCATCAGAAGGGTGAGCTTGTAACCCAAGCCCTCATTTGCATGGGCTGCTTAAGGCCCTGTACCTAATTCTGTATTGGTAACTTTGCATTCTTTAAAGAGGGCAGTCCAAAATGTGTATGCTTGAAGATTCATGAATCCCAATCCATCTGGGCCCCTTTCTGGGCCTTCATTTCAAAAGATGTGAAAGATGGGGAGAAGAGAATGTTTTAGACAGTCCTGACGATGCCTTCTGAATCTCATAGTCTAAGACCCTGTACCTCTGCCATCATAGACTCATGGTTTCTCATTGCTGCTTAGGCCAAGACAAAAAATTTCTACTCGGCTGGGTGCAGTGGCTCATGCCTGTAATCCCAGCACTTTGGGAGGCCGAGGCGGGCAGATCACGAGGTCAGGAGATCGAGACCCTCCTGGCTAACATGGTGAAACCCCATCTCTACTAAAAATACAAAAAATTAGCCAGGTGTGGTTGTGGGCGGCTGTAGTCCCAGCTGCTCAGGAGGCTGAGGCAGGAGAATGGCGTGAACCCGGGAGGCGGAGCTCGCAGTGAGCTGAGATTGCGCCACTGCACTCCAGCCTGAGCAACAGAGCAAGACCAAAAAAAATTAAAATTAAAAAAAAATTTCTACTGAAGAGGCTGAGGCAGGAGAATCACTTGAGCCCAGGGGGCTGAGGCTACAGTGAGCCATGATAGTGCCACTGCACGCCAGCCTGGGCAACAGAACAAGACCCTGTCTCAAAAACAACAGGCCGGGTGCGGTGGCTCATGCCTATAATCCCAGCACTTTGGGAGACCGAGGCAGGCAGATTGCTTGAGGCCAGGAGTTTGAGACCAACCTGGCCAACATAGCGAAACCCATCTGAGGATTCTGGCATAGTATGCTACAGCTCAGAACTCCTGGACTCAACAATTGCATTGTCTTGAGAGCAAAATTAGGATTTTAATTTGGGACTTTTGATTCTTAGCTTACAGGATGAAAGTCTAGAGATTTTCACTGCATACTCAGCGTCTTCCTTTTCCAGTAGAGCTGCGGCACATGAACCTTTTAAGAAAGACTTCCATCTAAAATAAAAATTGGGCTGGGTGTGGTGGCTCATGCTTTGTAATCCCAGCATTTGAGAGGCCAAAGCAGGTGGATCACTTGAAGTCAAGAGTTCGAGACCAGCCTGGCTAACATGGTGAAACCCCATCTCTACTAAAAATACAAAAATTAGCCAGGCGTGGTGATGTGCACCTGTAATCCCAGCTACTCAGGAGGCTGAGGCAGGAGAATCACTTGAACCCAGGAGGCGGAGCCTGCAGTGAGCGGAGATTGTGCCACTGCACCCCAGCTTGGGCAACAGAGCAAGACCCCATCTAAAAAAAAATTAATTAAAAATCAAGAAAATTGTCTTAAAGAATGGGTTAAGATGGGTTAAGATTCAGTTTTTTTGGATAATTTGGATAACTCCCCACATGGGCAAGTCCAAACGTGCAGATCAAGGAAGTATCACTGCTACCACTTCACCACCTAGGCCAAGTATATTATTTTCACCTTGATGTTACTTTGATAGTGGCTTGGGAATTAGGTTAATTTGCACCTGTTGGTAGAAGTCAGAGAGGTGTTACCAAATCTGTCACAAGCTCTCCTTCCCTAATTCATCTGCAAGCTCCCCTTGAGGGGAAGGAGGGCATGGCTTTCATGTTTTCGGCATTCCTCAGCCATCACCTGCAGAGAGACACCTGCTAGGGGCAGGGTGTATAGATTTTCCCTAAATCAGTCTTTCAGGGTTCCACACTTCATTCATCCTAAGTGCAGCAAAAATTAAATAAGAAGCTTCATCAGGCCAGGCCCGGAGGCTCACGCCTATAATCCTAACACTTTGAGAAGCCAAAGCAGGAGGATAGCTTGAGCCCAGGAATTCGAGACCAGCCTGAACAACATAGTGAGATCCAATCTCTACAAAAAATAAATAAATAAATAAATAAATAAAATTTTTATTTATTTTTTTGAGACAGGGTCTCAGTCTGTCGCCTAGGCTGGAGGGCAGTGGCGTGATCTCAGCTCACTGCAACTTTTGCCTCCCAGGTTCAAGCGATTCTCCTGCCTCAGCCTCCTGAGTAA
This sequence comes from Homo sapiens, assembly GCF_000001405.40. Lineage (NCBI taxonomy): Eukaryota > Metazoa > Chordata > Mammalia > Primates > Hominidae > Homo > Homo sapiens. Next base: position 27,035 of record NW_014040926.1, on the reverse strand, counting down.
CTTGGACTACAGGCACTTGCCACCATGCCTGGCTAATTTTTGTGCTTTTTGGTAGAGATGGGGTTTCACCATGTTGGCCAGGCTGAAAAAAATTTTTTCAATTAATTGGGCGTGGTAGCCTATGTCTGTGGTCCCAGCTACTTGGGAGGCTGAGGTAGGAGGACCACTTGATCCTGGAGGTTGAGGCTGCCATAATCATGCCACTGCACTCCAGCCTGAGCAATGAAGCAAGACCTCGTTAAAAAAAAAAAAAAAAAGGAAGGAAGGAAGGAAAAGAGAAAAGAGCTGTAAAAAACAAAACAAAACAAAACAAAAACAAGCTTCGTCATAGTATCATGCTTGGAGACAGTGCCAGGGATGGAATACAGCAACCTAAACAAACAACAGCCCTTTATATGGCAGCATAAACTGAAACAGCTCCCCTTTCCTCCTCCAAGATGAGGGGAGAAGCTTGGGCTGAGCTGGGCACCTTTTAATGTTTCCTAATTTGAGGAAGCTTTGTAATACAATTCAGGGCAAGACGGGGGAAAGGCACCTTTTGCATAATAAGACCAGAGCTATCTAACAGCAAATAGGATACAAATCAGGGTAACAGAAGAATACTAACTTGTCACTCAGAAAGGCATGCTCTCCAGGAGACCAATTCTCATGGGAGAGGAGTGTTTGCTTTCAGATGTTTACCAGACTAGAGGTTCAGCCTGGAAGCACCCAGAGATCCCTTCCTCACCCATGGAACCAGGGCTCGCCTTTGCATTGGACAGGGCTGGCCTAAAGAGAGACAACAATGAGAAGAGAGAAGAGAGTCAGGGAGCATGGGAGCAACTGCAGGACACCCTCTCTGTCACCCAGGATACATTTGTAATGCAAAGAGCTGAACAATCCATCCCAACTCCCTCTACTGTCTTCCCAAGACCAAGAGAGATAATGGATCTGAGAGTCTCATAAAATGCAATTTGGGTGCAATCAATGACCACCCAAGAAGAGTTTGGCAACCTCTTTCTTCAGGTTTCCTCCCTGGAGCACAAGCTTTCTCAGCCAAGGCACTATTGACCTTTTAGGCCTGTCAATTCTTTGTGGAAAACCACGGCTCCAGCAGAGGCACAGGTGGATTTATTGAGTTGCTAATGAAGTCGTGGCCTCAAAACCCTTCATTTACACTATTAGCTCCTTCCAAAGAGCTGAGGGAGGTCCTAATGAATGATGTGTTCACAGAGTGAACGTTTTTTGTAAAATTTGTTAAAAACATTTTTTAACTGCAATTGGTTAAGATCACTCAGTCACACATTATCTCCTTTTACTCCAGCACTTTCTTATAAAAATTTGTATTTTTGTGGCTTTTTTTTTTTTAGAGAGGGGGTCTTGCTCTGTCACCCCAAGGCTGGAGTGCAGTGGCTCAACCATGGCTCATTGCAACCTCCAATTCCTGGGCTCAAGGGATCCTTCCACCTAAGCTTCCCAAGTAGCTGGGACTGCAGACGGGAGCCACTACTATGTCTGATAATTTTTTTTTTTTTTTTTTTTGAGACGGAGTCTCGCTCTGTCACCAGGCTGGAGTGCAATGGTGCGATCTCGGCTCACTGCAACCTCTGCCTCCTGAGTTCAAGCGATTCTCCTTGGTTGCTGAGTTCAAGCGAGTAGCTGGGACTACAGGCGCACGCCACCACACCCAGCTAATTTTTGTATTTTTAGTAGAGACGGGGTTTCGCCGTGTTGGCCAGGATAGTCTCGCTTTCTTGACCACGTGATCTGCCTGCCTTGGCCTCCCAAAGTAGAGTCGGGGCTCACTGTGTTGCCCGGACTGGTCTTGAACTCCTAGCCTCAAGTGAACCTGCCAAAGTGCTGAGATTACAGGCATGAGTCACCACACACAGCCAAAATTTGTATTTGTAATTTTTAATCATTTTTCTTTTTTTTTTTTTTTAATTCATACAGAGTCTCGCTCTGTCGCCCAGGCTGGAGTGCAGTGGCGCGATCTCAGCTCACTGCAAGCTCCGCCTACCGGGTTCACCGCACTCTCCTGCCTCAGCCTCCCGAGTAGCTGGGACTACAGGCGCCCGCCACCACGCTCGGCTAATTTGTTGTATTTTTAGTAGAAACGGGGTTTTACCATGTTAGCCAGGATGGTCTCGATCTCCTGACCTCATGATCCACCCGCCTCGGCCTCCCAAAGTGCTGGGATTACAGGCGTGAGCCACCGCGCCCGGCCTTTTTTATCATTTTCTTAAAGATGGTCCCCCCCAGTAGCCTAAGCTTCAGGCCCCACAAAACCCAGATCTGACCCTAGAGTAAGACAATCCTTGCTTCTACCCCATCCTCACATACTCAAAGTTTTTAAACCTCTTTAGGCATCAGTTTCATTTGAAAAATTGGTTTATTAATGGTGATTTCCTAAGATTCTTGTGAAAACTAAGTGATAAAATGGAAACTGCTTAGCCTACTGCCTAGAACAACCACACACTCAATACATGGTAGCTGTTATGAAAATAGTGATATATTCATTTCCTGATAGTGGAAATCAAATGTGGTGACCGCTTCAGTTGGGAGAAGGACTACCAGCTTCCTGATGGCGGGAAACCACGATGACACTGAGGAGCTAAAACATTTGGCTAGAACCATCACCAAGGAAAAAGTCTGGTTTTGAAAATGATGCCAGGCACGGTGGCTCACATCTGTAATCCCAGCGCTTTGGGAGGCCAAGGCAAGCATATTGCTTCAGCCCAGGAGTTCAAGACCTGCCTGGGCAACATGGCAAAACCCTGTCTCTAGCATTGCAACATAGTGAGACCTCATCTCTACAAAAAATACAAAAATTAGCTGAGTGTGGTGGCATGTGCCTGTAGTCCCAGCTACTTGGGAGTCTGAGGTGGGAAGATTGCTTGAGCCCAGGAGGTCAAGGCTGCAGTGAGCAGTGATCATGCCACTGCACTCTAGCCTGGATGACAGAGCAAGACCCTGTCTCAAGAAAAAAAAAAAGAAAAAGCAAATGATGATGGAATATTCAAGCTTACAGTCTAGGCTCCACCATAGAGGAAAAATGAAGAACAGAGAACCCAGAACTACCTTCATGGGTTTCTTTCTAGAAGAATCTCTTTTAATGGATTCTTTCTGTGTTCTATGGGCAGCTGACCCCTCTGCAGACCCATTTATTTATTTATTTACTTATTTATTTATTTTAATTTTTGAGATAGGGTTTCACTCTGTCACCCAGGCCAGAGTGCAATGGTATGATCTCAGCTCACTGCAACCTCTGCCTCCTGAGTAGCTAGGATTACAGGAGTGTGCCACCACACCTGGCTAATTTTTTGTATTTTTAGTAGAGACAGGGCTTTGCTATGTTGCCCAGGCTGTACAGACCCCTTATTTAAACAGATACAGCATTAGAGGCCTTACAGGTGTTGGTATCAATTCTATTTCTTGCACTGGATGGCAGGTTCGGGGATTACAGTATTGTTTTCTAAACAGTAAGATATATTATGTAAACTTTCTTTATGTGTGTGGTATTTTTGCAAATTTGTTTAAGCTTAAAAAAATAACTGCAGGCCAGGTGCAGTGGCTCACACCTGTAATCTCAGCACTTGGGAGGCCAAGGCAGGAGGATCACTTGAGCCAGGAGTTTGAGACCAGCCTCTGCAACATAGTGAGACCTCATTTCTTTTTCTTTTTATTTTTTTAATTGAGACAGAGTCTAGCTCTGTCGCCCAGGCTGGAGTGCAGTGGCGCAATCTCGGCTCACTGCAAGCTCCGCCTCCTGGGTTCACGCCATTCTCCTGCCTCAGCCTCCCAAGTAGCTGGGACTACAGGCGTCCACCACCACGCCTGGCTAATTTTTTTGTATTTTAAGTAGAGATGGGGTTTCACTGTGTTAGCCAGGATGGTCTGGATCTCCTGACCTCGAGATCCGCCCTCCTCGGACTCCCAAAGTGCTGGGATTACAGGTGTGAGCCACCGCGCCCAGCAGTGAGACCTCATTTCTTGGGGGAAAAAAAAAAAAAAAGGGAGGTCAAGGCTCTAGTGAGCTGCAATCACACAACTGCACTTCAGTATGAGTGACAGAGAGAGACTCTGTCTCAAACAGCAACAATAAAAGCGTGCAGTATGGTCCTCCCTTATCTCTGTCCCTGATTCACTGTAATCTCCAGGGCCTCCATTTCCACTTTTGTAAAATGGACCTCTCTAGGGTCTCTTCTGGCTTTAAGTCTATGGAAGTGTATATAAGTGTATAAGTCTATGAATTATTTGCTAAACCGAACAGAACAATAAGAACTTGAGTCTGACAACCTGTCTGAACACCTCCCCACTCTGCAGCAAAATGTATTTCTGTCTTGACATCTAAAATGGAAGCTTAATTGCTGATAAGTGGTTGACAACTGGTAAATGCATTTTGGGTGGATTTAGAGAAACTAAATCTATAACGTACATCGGAACATCAGAAGATGCTCTAGAAAGTTGGGCTTCAGGGAATGAAGTAAGGGGCCTACAGGTGATGGGAGGACCCTCAGCCTGGCCAGGAAACCTGTGGGGCCCGGGAATTGCAGCCCTGTTCCCCACAGTCCTTCAGTAAGAAGTGACAGCAAAGACAACAGGTGCCATTTATAAGACATTTATGATCCCCTATCGCTGAGCTAGTTGCTTTCATGGTCATGTAGTGCTTCTGACAACCCTCTGGTACTATTTAATGAGAAGTATCATTTATCCAGAAGTTAGTATTGCCAGGCTCTATCTTACACATAAAATATCTCATTTAGTCTATGAGGTAGGGACTCTTATTATCACCAAATCACAGGTGGAGAAACTGAGGCACAGTTGCCCAAATAAAAAAAAGTATTTATTTTTATTTATTTATTAAAAAAATGTACCTCCGCCTCCTGGGTTCAAGCAATTCCCCTGCCTCAGCCTCCTGAGTAGCTGGGACTACATGCATGCGCCACCACGCCCAGCTAATTTTTTTTTTTTTTTTTTTGCGACGGAGTCTTGCTCTGTCATCCAGGCTGGAGTGCAGTGGCGTGATCTCGGCTCACTGCAAGCTCCGCCTCCCAGGCTCACGCCATTCTCCTGCCTCAGTCTCCCGAGTAGCTGGGACTACAGGCTCCTGCCACCACGCCAGGCTAATTTTTTGTATTTTTTTTTTATCAGAGACAGGGTTTCACCGTGTTAGCCAGGATGGTTTCAATCTCCTGACCTTGTGATCCGCCCGCCTCAGCCTCCCAAAGTGCTGGGATTACAGGCGTGAGCCACCGCACCTGGCCAAAAAAAATTTTTTTTGAGACAGGATCTCAAAAAAAAAAAAAAATCTCGAGGTTGCAGCCTAGGCTTGAATGCAGTGGTGTGATCATGGCTCACTGCAGTCTCCACCTCCCTGGCTCAAGTGATCCTCCCACCTCAACCCTCCCAGCAGCTGGGACTATAGGCATGTGCCACCATGCCTGGGTAACTTTTGTATTTTTTGTAGAGGTGGGGTTTCACCATGTTGCCCGGGCTGGTCTGGAACTCCTGGGCTCAAGTGATCCTCCCGCCTCAGCCTCCCAAAGTGCTGGGATTACAAGTGTGAGTCAACATGCCTGGCCCCACATCAAATAACTAATGTATGATGGAGCTGAGACCTGAACCAAGCATTCTGGCTCCAGAGTCCATGCTCTTTTTTTTTTTTTTCTTTTTAAGATGGAGTCTCACTCTGTTGCCCAGGCTGGAGTGCAGTGGCAAGATCTCGGCTCACTGCAACCTCCGCCTCCCAGGTTTAAGCACTCTCCTGCCTTAGCTTCCCAAGTAGGTGGGACTACAGGTGCACGGCATCACGCCTGGCTAATTTTTGTATTTTTAGTAGAGATGGGGTTTCACTATGTTGGCCAGGCTGGTCTCAAACTTCTGAACTTAGGTGACTCGCCTGCCTCAGCCTCCCAAAGTGGTGGGATTACAGGCTTAAGCCACTGCACCCAGCCAGACCCCATGCTGTTAACATCCATACTCTACTGTCTTCCAGGATAGCTCTGAAGGAGTGCTATTATTATTTCCAGTTTATGGATGAGGAAACTGAGGCTCAGATTGATGAAGTGACTTCCCTAAGGCTGCATAGTGTGTAAATGGCAGAGCCAGGCCTCAATTTCTGGTTCATGTGTTTTCTTTTTTTAATTGATCATTCTTGGGTGTTTCTCGCAGAGGGGAATTTGGCAGGGTCATAGGACAATAGTAGAGGGAAGGTCAGCAGATAAACAAGTGAACAAAGGTCTCTGGTTTTCCTAGGCAGAGTGTTTGTGTCCCTGGGTACTTGAGATTAGGGAGTGGTGATGACTCTTAACGAGCATGCTGCCTTCAAGCATCTGTTAAACAAAGCACATCTTGCACTGCCCTTAATCCATTTAACCCTGAGTGGACACAGCACATGTTTCAGAGAGCACAGGGTTGGGGGTAAGGTCATAGATCAACAGGATCCCAAGGCAGAAGAATTTTTCTTAGTACAGAACAAAATGAAAAGTCTCCCATGTCTACTTCTTTCTACACAGACACAGCAACCATCCGATTTCTCAATCTTTTCCCCACCTTTCCCCCTTTTCTATTCCACAAAACCGCCATTGCCATCATGGCCCGTTCTCAATGAGCTGCTGGGCACACCTCCCAGACGGGGTGGCGGCCGGGCAGAGGGGCTCCTCACTTCCCAGTAGGGGCGGCCGGGCAGAGGCACCCCTCACCTCCCGGACGGGGTGGCTGGCCAGGCGGGGGGCTGACCCCCCCACCTCCCTCCTGGACGGGGCGGCTGGTCGGGCAGAGGGGCTCCTCACTTCCCAGTAGGGGCGGCCGGGCAGAGGCGCCCCTCACCTCCCAGACGGGGCGGCTGGCCTGGCGGGGCTGACCCCCACCTCCCTCCTGGACGGGGTGGCTGCCGGGCGGAGACGCTCCTCACTTCTCAGACGGGGCGGCTGCGGGGCGGAGGGGCTCCTCACTTCTCAGACGGGGCGGTTGCCAGGCGGAGGGTCTCCTCACTTCTCAGACGGGGCGGCCGGGCAGAGACGCTCCTCACCTCCCAGACGGGGTCGCGGCAGGGCAGAGGCGCTTCTCACATCCCAGACGGGGCGGCGGGGCTGAGGCGCTTCCCACATCTCAGACGATGGGCGGCCAGGCAGAGACGCTCCTCACTTCCTAGATGTGATGGCGGCCGGGAAGAGGCGCTCCTCACTTCCTAGGTGGGATGGTGGCCGGGCAGAGAGGCTCCTCACTTTCCAGACTGGGCAGCCAGGCAGAGGGGCTCCTCACATCCCAGACGATGGGCAGCCAGGCAGAGATGCTCCTCACTTCCCAGACGGGGTGGCGGCCGGGCAGAGGCTGCAATCTCGGCACTTTGGGAGGCCAAGGCAGGCGGCTGGGAGGTGGAGGTTGTAGTGAGCCGAGATCACGCCACTGCACTCCAGCCTGGGCACCATTGAGCACTGAGTGAACCAGACTCCGTCTGCAATCCTGGCACCTCAGGAGGCTGAGGCTGGCGGATCACTCGCGGTTAGGAGCTGGAGACCAGCCCGGCCAACACAGCGAAACCCCGTCTCCACCAAAAACATACGAAAACCAGTCAGGCGTGGCGGCGCGTGCCTGCAATCGCAGGCACTGGGCAGGCTGAGGCAGGAGAATCAACCAGGGAGGCTGCAGTGAGCCGAGATGGTGGCAGTACAGTCCAGCTTCGGCTTGGCATGAGAGGGAGACCGTGGAAAGAGAGGGAGAGGGGAGACCATGGAAAGGGGAGAGGGAGACGGAGAGGGAGAGAGGGAGAGGGAGAGGGAGAGGGAGAGAGAGAGAGAGAGAGAGAGAGAGTCCAATGCACCGGTTCATGTGTTTTCAAAGCCCATGCTGTTCACCATTGTCCCATATTGCCTCTCTTGGTCAGTTACCAAATGGCTACTGTGAGCCCCGCTCTGTGCTAGCAGCAGCTGGGAAACAAAGTAGGAGAGATGTTGGAGAAGGATGCACCTGTCTTTGCCCTGGAGCTGCCACTAATTCACTGTGTGACCTGAGGCAAGTCAGAGCCTCTCTCTGGGTCCCAAGTCCCATGTGTAAGTGAGAGGCTGAGCGATGTCCCAGACTGTGGCCAGGACATGTCTGGTGACATAGGATAAGGATATAGGGCTTGGCAAAGAGCAGAAGAGGAGGCTTTAAATGATCAGACTCCCAAGGAGGACAGAAGACCTTCAGGGTGGAAATGACCTGAAGCTTAAATCAGAAAAACCCCCTTTCTCCATCACTGTTTCCTCACTTCTTCCCAGAGGAGAAAGATCAGAAAAGGAGGTGAGAAAAAAGGGCTGGGGGAAGGCCTATTAAGTTTCCTGTGACCACTGTAACACATCTCCACAAACTTGATGACTTAAAACAAGAGAAGTTGCCAGGTGCAGTGGCTCACGCCAGTAATCCCAGCAAGTTGGGAGGTCGAGGCAGGAGGATTGTTTGAGCCCAGGAGTTCAAGACCAGCCTGGGCAATATAATGAGACTTGCTCTACAAAAAAAAAAAAAATAAAAAAAAAAAATAAAAAAATTAGCCCATGTTGCAGTATGTGCCTGTGGTCCCAGCTACATGGGAGGCTAAGGCAGGAAGATCGCTTGAGCCCAGAAGGTTGAGGCTGCAGTGGGCCATGATCATGCCACTGCACTCCAGCCCAGGTGACAGAGCAAGACTCTGTCTCAAAAAACAATGGCTGGGTGTGGTGGTTCATGCCTGTAATCCCAGCACTTTGGGAGGCCGAGGTGGGTGGATCACATGAGGCCAGGAGTTCAAGACCAGCCTGGCCAACACGGCAAAACCCTGTCTCTACTAAAAATATGAAAATTAGCTGGGTGTGGTGGTACATGTCTGTAATCTCACCTACTCTGGAGGCTGAGGCACAAGAATTGCTTGAACCCAGGAGGTAAAGGTTGCAGTGAGCCATGATCGCACCACTGCACTCCATCCTGGGCGACAGAATGAGACTGTCTCAACAACAGCAACAGCCACAGAAGTTTATTTTCTCACAATTCTAGAGGCCAGAAGTCCTAAATCAAGGCAGTACTCCCTAAGGAGTCTCAAGGGGTGAGTCTATTCCTTGCCTCTTCAGCTTTTGGTAGCTGGTGGCCTTCCTTGGCTTGTGGCTGCTTTGTCTCTTCTCTGTCTTCACATGGCTTTCTCCTCTGTCTGGCCAACATCCCTTGCCTTTCTCTTATAAGGTTACTTGTGATTGGATTTAGGGCCCACCGGGATAATCAAAGATAATCTTCCCAATCTCAAACCCTAAACTTAATTAAATCTGCAAAGACCCTTTTACAAAATAAGGTAATATTCACAGGTTTTCAGAATTAGGATATAGTTTTTTTTTTTTTGATACAGGATCTCAGGCTGGAGTGCAGTGGAGTGATCGGAGCTTACTGCACCCTTGAACTCCTAGGCTCAAGCCATCTTCCTGCCTCAGCCTCCTGAATAGCTAGGACTACAGGCATGCACTAACATGCCTGGCTAATTTTTAAATTTTGTAGAAATGAGGTCTCGCTATGTTGCCCAAGCTGGTCTGGAACTCCTGGCTTCAAGCGATCCTCCTGGCTTCAAGCGATCCTTCTGTCTCAGCTTCCCAAAGTGCTAGGATTACAAGCGTAAGCCACTGTCTCTGGCCTGGACGTATTTTGAGGGACAATTTTTCAACCTACTACAGAGGGGAAAGACAGAGAGAGAAATGAAGTTGAAAGATGGGGAAGGGCACCACAAGCACTGATTTAGGAGCTGCTCATCTCTGCCAAAATGCTGAGTAATTGCCCTCTACTACTTGGTCTTGTTCCTCAATCAATCCGTACAAATCTGTAGGATGCTCCCAGCTAGAAGGTCCATATTCTGCTCTTCTGAGTCTCCCAGTACTTAGCAGCAGTTTTACAACACTGGCTGGGCTTGCTGCAGCGGGAATCCTAACAGACAATGTGGGATAGGTATAGGGGTTTGGAGACCTGGGTTCTGGGTCTGGCTGTACCACCAGCTCTCTGTCGGCCCCGGAGCCAGACACTGCTCTTCTCTGCACCTCACTCCTGTCCACACACCGTTGCCCATGCTGCTCTCTTGTCTTGGGTCTCCTTTCCACCCTCTCTCCCTTCTCCAATCTCAGCTTACCTATGTCTTCCAGAGATCCTTTACCTAACTCCCAGGGTGGGGCTAGTAGCTGACACCCTGACGACAGGCAAATGCATTTTGTTTTAAGTGGCTTAGAGAAACTAAATCTATAATATCCCTGAAATGGCCTGTTTCTTTGTCTGTCATCCACAGAAACCCACCAACCCATGAGCACCTCAAGTGGCCAAGAGCCTGGAGTCTGACTGCTTGGGTTCAAATCAAGGCTCTGCCACTTACTGTCTATGTGGCTTTGGGACAGTTACTTACCCTTTTTGTGCTTCAGTTTCCTCATCTGTAAAATGAAAGTAACAAGAATAACATCTGTCGTCCAGCGTTATAACTAAATGAGCTGTTATCTGTAAAGTGCTTAGGCTGGGCCTGGCATGAGGTAAGCACATATTTAATACTAATTATCAGCATCATTATTTGTATCCTCAGGGTCAGGCACACAACAGGCACTTGTGAAAGTGTTGATGGAAATCAGGTGATTTCCAGTTCTTTTTTTTTGAGACAGAGTTTCACACTTGTTGCCCAGCCTGGAGTGCAATGGCTCAATCTCGGCTCACTGCAACCTCTGCCTCCCGGGTTCAAGTGATTCTCTTGCCTCAGCCTCCTGAGTAGCTGGGATTCCAGGCGTGCGCCACCACAACTGGCTATTTTTTATTTTTAGTAGAGATGAGGTTTCTCCATGTTGGTCAGGCTGGCCTTGAACTCCTGACCTCAGGTGATCCGCCCACTTCAGCCTCCCAAAGTGTTGGGGATTACAGGCGTGAGCCACTGCGCCTGGCCTAAGTTCTTTCCAGTTCTGCACATGCTTTTTTTTTTTTTTTTTTTGAGACAGAGTTTTGCTCTGTCACCCAGGCTGGAGTGCAGTGGCTTGATCTTGGCTCACTGCAACCTCTGCCTCCCAGGTTCAAGTGATTCTCCTGCCTCAGCCTCCCGAGTAGCTGAGATTACAGGCATCCTCCACCACGTCCAACTAATTTTTATATTTTTAGTAGAGACGGGGTTTCACCATGTTGGCCAGGCTGGTCTAGAACTCCCGACCTCAGGTGATCCACCTGCCTCGGCCTCCCATAGGGCTGGGATTACAGGCATGAGCCACTGCACCCGGCCTAAGTTCTTTCCAGTTCTGCCCATGCCCCAAGGTTGTGCCAGTGGTGAGATGGAACAGGGAAAGCCAGGCAGCAGCTACAGCGGCGTAGACAGTGATTTGAGCACACGCAAGCTCGGACTGGTGGGGAGCGTGGCCAAGCGCCGCATCTGCGATCCTGGTTCTTTGCAGAAACCATCCTGCCTCCTCTCTTTTCAGCCTCAGCCATCCCCTTTAGGGGTTTGCTGAGGATCCACTGTCTGAAAGCTGTCATGAGCCTGAGCAGGTCAGCAGCTGACCAGCCCAGAGGAAGCCCTTTCTTCAGTTTCCTCGGGTGGCCACAGTGTTAGACACAGGAGGAGAGAGGCTGGGCCAAACAAAATGCCCGCAGCCTTGCAGGGAGACCTGGAGTCTGCTGTGAGTGGGCAGTTCCCTCCCTCCCATGTCCCTCCCCACACACGTTTGCCCACAGGTTGCAACCTTTTTTATTTTTATTTTTGCCTTCATGGACCAGTCTTAGGAACCTCTGGCATCAATGGATGGAGAACCAGAAACACACAAGATTTGGGAGGCCTAAAAGATGATTGTTGTTATTTTATTTATTTGTATATGCTCTGCTTTTTAAAAAAAAAATTGATTCAAAACACCATAAGGTTATTCAGAGTGACCTAGCCTAGGCTGGCAGTGGTCAAAGTTGTTTTCCATCTTCCTGCCCCCAGGGCATACATCTTCCTAACCCAGGTCCCTAGATGGTGGTCTCTCTCAGCTGCACACCAACCAAGCCCAGCTGAGGGTTGGCTGGTCTAGTGATCTTTCTCAGAACTATTTGCATTTGAGAAGCATGGGAAGCCCCAGCACCCCACTCCTTCCAGGCCACAGTTCCCAGGAGCCCAATGCTCTGGGAGATGGTACCAGATAATCTTTCATACATTCAATCAACAAATGTTTGCTGGTGCCAGGGCTGGAGATACAAAAGAGAAAATAAGGATCCTGCCCTCAAAGCCTCACCAATTATTGGGGAGATGTGCAAGCTACAAATAAGATAATTATGATAATAGAAAAGGGAATAAAATGCCACAGAAGGCCAATAACAGGAACTGACATTTGCTGAACTCCCTTGGCTGGGAGCTCTGCTATGTACTTTTATCATCCATGAACACATTGAAACCTCATGATGACCCTGTGAAGCCCCCATTTTACACATGAGCAAATTGGGGCTCTGAGAACTACAGAAATCTGGCACAAGTCCTACAGCTCATAAGTGACTAAGCCAGATCTGTCAGGCTGAACTCTGTCTGAAAAGACAGGGAAGCTTCATAGAGGAGGTAGCTTTTAAATTGAGACTTGGAGGTTGAGTAGGAGGTGGCCAGATCAAAAAGTTGAGGGAGAGGAGAGAGAAAGATGAGTACTACAGTTGGTGAGAACCAATGAAAACTCAGCAACTTTAAGGAGTAGGGGAGAGCGACTACTCCTTCTTTTCTTCACCTCCCATGGTCCAGAGTTGCTCACCCCTGGTCCAGAGCCTGCCCAGGGCATTCACACCCACACCTGGAAACCCATGTCATCTGCAGAGGGATGTTCTCTTCCTTGTTTCCCTAGCTGGGAGAATTTCTGGGAGGCAGAGTGACAAGAGTACCTGTTCTGGGACAGCCATGGTCTGAATGTTTATGTCCCACCCCCTCGATTCCTATGTTGAAATCCTCACTCCCTATATGATGCTATTAGGAGGTGTGGCCTTTTGGAGCTGATTAGGTTTGGGGATGGAGCCCTCATGGCTGGGATTAGTGCCCTGATGAAAGAGACCCAAGAGAGACCCCTCACTCCTACCATGTGTGAGCATGTTAATGCTCTATTTAATAATATATTAAGATACGTGCAGTTAGAGCAAGAACTAGTTTAATGTTAATAGCCAGGTATCATAATTATTATTACTTATTACTTCTAGGCTTAACCTTGACTTAGGGCTCTGGCTAGGAGAGAAAATATTTTTTAACCCATTTTTCACCTCTTAACAGTCTAAAACTTCCTGAGATGTATCTCTAAATATCTCTGTGGGGATTAAAAGCACCTTAGCAGTGAAACTCCTTATACGTGGCTTTCCTAAGGAGCCAATGGTGTCCTCATAGCCATAAAGTCTAATCTGAAGATATAAAGGAGGCACGATCAGGGCCTCCTTGCTGTGTTCCCATCTGGGCCCTCACCAGACACTGAATCTGCCAGTGCTTTGGTCTTGGACTTCCCGGTGTCCAGAAGCGAGAGAAATAAATTTCTGGCTGTTTGTTTGTTTGTTTGTTTGTTTTGAGACAAAGTTTCACTCTTGTCACCTAGGCTGGAGTGCAATGGCACAATCTCGGCTCATTGCAACCTCTGCCTCCCGGGTTCAAGTGATTCTCCTGCCTCAGCCTCCCAAGTAGCTGGAATTACAGGCTCTTGCCACCACGCCCGGCTAATTTTTGTATTTGGAGACGGTGTTTCACCATGTTGGTCAGGCTGGTCTCAAACTCCTTACCTCAGGTAAGGATCCACCTGCCTCGGCCTCCCAAAGTGCTGGGATTACAGGTGTGAGCCACCGCGCCTGGCCAACTTCTGTTGTTTACAAACTACCCAGTCTATGGTCTTTTGTTATAGCAGCCAGAACAAACTAAGACAGGGACCAAACCCACCTTGGTTCAAATCCCAACTTTGCAACTTCCTAGCTGTGTAAGCAAGTTGCCTTCCCTCCGTGAACCTCAATTACTTCATCTGTAATAGGGGATAATAGGATCTCCTAAGCTTGTTCTCATGATTAACTGAGATGAGGTAGGCACATCTCCAGGCAGTGGACATAGCACAGTAAATGGCAGCTGTTATTGTTATTAGGAGGTATGTGTAAGAACACTTCGTCTCTAAGTAGTTAATTTGGAGACTGAAACATTTTCGACATGAGCAGATGCCCAGTGGCGCTAATGACAATCTGTGGGCAAAAAAAAAAAATCTCTGCAGGATACATCTAGGATTAAATCAAATGAGGTAATTCATGGATAGAAAGTGCTCAGACCAGTGTCTAGCACGGACTGGGTGGTGCTCCAAAAATGAGAGCTCCCCCTGATATTTACAATTCAACAAGCTTTCTTATGGAGACTTAAAATGGTTTGAGCACACTGTAAATAACCATGGTTTACAGGAGATATTTTTTCAGGAATTCATCTCATGTTCTCCATCAAGGGACCCCTATCTTGTGCAACCAATTTATCTCTCTTTACAAACCTTATTAGGTTCTGTCTGTGTACTTTCAAGAAAAGTTACTTTTTGGCAAGCTTGAATGGGAAAAGGGATATGATTGCTTTAAAACTAGAGATCTGGTGTGTGAGGTTGCCATGGAGACGATTTAATGTAAACTTTATTTTACAGCATGCCCAGCTAAGTAATTGGTCAGAAGGGAAGGGGAGAAGCTACAAGCAATTTCCTCCAAAAAAAGAAGAGGAAAAAAAAAATCACTAGAGAAAAGCTAGCAGATGAAGAGAAATCTTTTTCCACTCAGGGAACGGCAATTAAAAGGTTCACGCTTCTGGTAAGGGCAGAAACTGCATGATTTGGCACTTTCTTTCCTTTCTTGTTTTTTTCTTCTTTCTGTGGATTGAAATACAGGGGGGAAAATAGGAGTAGAGAAAGAAGAGGAAACAGCAAAGCTGATTAGTACTCCCAGTTGAAAGGATGTAGTCTTTATGGCTATGAATAGGACAGCATTGGCTCCTAAGGAAAGCCATGTATAAGGGCTTTTATTGCTAAGGTGTTTTTAAGCCCCACGGAGATATTTAGATATACATCCCGGGAAGTTTTAGACTGTTAAGAGTTGAAAAATTGATTAAAAGATATATTCTCTTCTAGCCAGAGCTCTAAGTCAAGGTTAAGCCTAGCAGTAACAAATAATACGTAAGAATTAGTGATACCTGGCTATTTATATTAAATGAATTCTTGCACTAACTGCATATATCTTAATATATTATTATATAGAGTATTAACATTTTACTAGTGTTTTATTGGTCTTTTAAAATTCTTTATTCTTTATTTATTTTATTTTTTTTTTTTTAGAGACAGGGTCTCATTTTGTTACCCAGGCTGGAGCGCAGTGGCACGGTTGATCAAAGCTCACTGCCGCCTAAAATTCCTGGGCTCAAGCAATCCTCTCACCTCGGCCTCCTGAGTAGCTGGAACTACAGGTGTGCACCATTATGTCTGGCTAATTTTTAAAATTTTTTGTAAAGACAGGGTTTTGCTGTGTTTGTTGCCCAGGCTGGTCTTGAACTCCTGAGCTCAAGTATCTTCCCACCTTGGCCTCCCAAAGTGTTGGGATTACAGGTGTGAGCCACTGTACCTGGCTAGTCTTTTGCTTTTTATTTATTTATGTTTTAGAGATGAGGTCTGTCTGTGTTACCCAGGCTAGCCTCAAACTCCTGGACTCAAGGGATCCAGTCTCCTTAGCCTCCCAAGTAGCTGGGACTGCAGGCACACGTGACCACACCCAGCTCATTAGTCTTTTTTTTTTTTGAGACAGAGTCTCGCTCTGTCGCCCAGGCTGGAGTGCAGTGGCTCTATCTCGGCTCACTGCAAGCTCCGCCTCCCGGGTTCACGCCATTCTCCTGCCTCAGCAGGTGTTAGCCACCACGCCCGGCCTCATTAGTCTTTTTAAAAAGCAAGTTTTCTCTATTCATTAACCACTCCATTCACTAACTAATCTTCTGCTAAGCTTTTGAGCCATCAGTCAGTTGAAAAATATTTGTTGAGTGTTTAATGTTTGCCAGAGCCAGTGCTAAGCCTATGGGTATAGTAGGGGGTAATCAAAGTAGGCAGGGGCCTTTCCTGAATGGATTTTATAGTCTAGAAAGGAAGGCAAATCGTCGATGAAAAATTACATAATTGTATTACAGTTGTGGTAAAGGCCAAAAAGCACAAATCTAATGATGCGCAATCTTGTGCGAGCAGAATGTGAGAAGTATGAGTCTAAAAGCAAGTATGAAACATCATTCATTCCAAACGTGAGTCTCAGAACTAAGAACTGGAATCCTGTGCACATGCTTTCCGATTCTGCACATTTATTTATTTATTTTTATTTATTTATTTTTGAGACAGGGTCTCACTCTGTCACCCAGGCTGGAGTGCAGTGGCGCGCTCTTGGCTCACTCCAACCTCCACCTCCCAGGTTCAAGCGATTTTCGTGCCTCAGCCTCCCGAGTAGCTGGGACCACAGGCGTGCCCAGCTAATTTTTGTGTTTTTTGTAAAGATTGGGTTTCACCCTGTTGCCCAGGCTGGTCTCAAACTCCTGATCTCAAAGTGATCCACTGGCCTCGGTCTCCTAAAGTGCTGGGATTACAGGCGTGAGCCACCATGCCTGGCTTTTTTTTTTTCAGACAGGGTCTCATTTTGTCACCCAGGCTGGAGTGCAATGGCACGATCATGTCTCACTGCAGACTTGACCTCTTGGGCTCTGGTAATCCTCCCACCTTAGCCCCCCGAGTAGCTGGGACTACAGGTATGCACACCACCATGCCCAGCTAATTTCTGCATTTTTTTTGTAGAGATGGGGTTTTGCCATGTTGCCCAGGCTGGTCTTAAACTCCTAGGCTCAAGCTGTCTGCCTGCCTCAGCCTCACAAAGTGTTGGGATTATAGATGTGAGCCACCCTGCCTGGTCTAGCAAATTTAAATTTAAATTGTTTGTTTGTTTATTTTAGTGTCCATTATGTGCGAGGTCCGAAACAGACATGATCCTTGTCCTCAACAAGCTTGCACTCTAAGTGGGGAGACAGATATTGAG
This sequence comes from Homo sapiens, assembly GCF_000001405.40. Lineage (NCBI taxonomy): Eukaryota > Metazoa > Chordata > Mammalia > Primates > Hominidae > Homo > Homo sapiens. The sequence goes on along the minus strand of NW_014040926.1, from coordinate 10,049 downwards.
CCCTTATTATGGGCCTGGCACCAGGTGAAGCACTTACGTGTATTATCTCATTTAAACTTCACACTAACTTTATCAGATAGGTACTATTATTATCCCCATTTGTCTTTTTTAAAAAAAAATTTTTTTTTAACAAGGAAACCAAAGAAGCCAGCCCATTTTTCTTTTTTCTTTTTTTAATTTTTTTGACGGAGTCTCACTTTGTCATCCAGGCTGGAGTGCAATGGTGCTATCTCGGCTCACTGCAATCTCCGTCTTCCAGGTTCAACCGATTCTCCTACCTCAGCCTCCCGAGTAGCTGGGATTACAGGTGCTTGTCACCACACCCAGCTAATTTTTGTATTTTTAGTAGAGACGGGGTTTCACCATGTTGGCCAGGCTGGTCTCGAGCTCCTGACCTCAGGTGATCCACCCACCTTGGCCTCCCTAAGTACTGGGATTATAGGCGTGAGCCACCGTGCCCGGCCACCAGCCGATTTTTCATATGGGAAATGGAGTCACAGATTAGTGAAGCAACTTGCTCAAGGTCACACAACTAGTTAGTGGTGGATTGGAGATTTAAATCCAGACAGTGAGGTTTCAGGGCCTCGCTGCCAGGCTGTGTGCTGCCAATCCGGCTGTGTGAGCCGCTGTTTGAAACTTCTTAGGCTCTTGGTCAGAAATTTGGAAGCATCATACTACAGAAGTGGTGGGAATAGCTTGAATTCAGGACAGAAATCCCCAAGGTTCGGAGGGGTTCCTGGGCAAAAAGAAAATCCCTTCCATTCCCCAGTGTTGGAGTTTAGCATATCTTACCCCATCATTTTTCAGATGAGCCACCATTTGGACCTACTCTGAGAACTCAGAGGAAGCATTTAACAAACTTCATGCACTGGAGGGGAAGGACAGTTATGGGGCACCCAGATTAGTTGGGCAGTGCCAGGCCTGTTTCCAGGATCACAGGAAGAGAGCAGCCACCAAGCACATGGGGCCCATGGGGATGGGCCTGGGAACAGGAGAGAACCATAGGAGGCCATGGGAAAGAGGTTACAGAGGCTACAACCCTGGGCTGGGACTCTTGTGGGTCCTGCTTGGAAGTGACTCACTGTGTGGCTTCGGGCAGTCACTGTGCTTGCCTGAACCTCGGTTTCCTCTTCTGGCTATTCCCACTGCTTCCACAGTACAATGGGTTGTTTTGTTTTTTAATTGTTTATTTCTATAGGTTATTGGGGAACAGGTGGTATTTGGTTGCATGAGTAAGTCCTTTAGTGGTGATTTCTGAGATTTTGGTGCACCCATCACCTGAGCAGTATACACTGCACCCAATTTGTAGTCTTTTATCCCTCACCCCCTTCCCACCCAAATGCTTTTTTGTTTATTTGTTTGTTTTTGAGACGGAGTCTCATTCTGTCGCCCAGGCTGGAGTGCAGTGGCGTGATCTCAGCTCACTGTGATCTCCGGCTCCTGGGTTCAAGCAATTCTCCCGCCTCAGCCTCCTGAGTATCTGGGACTACAGGCGCGTGCCACCACCATGCCCGGCTAATTTTTGTGTATTTTTAGTAGAGACGGGGTTTCACCATGTTGGCCAGGGTCTCAAACTCCTGGCCTCAAATGATCTGCCTGCCTCGGCCTCCCAAAGTGCATGGATTACAGGTGTGAGCCACCGTGCCCAGCGTGATGTTTCCAAATGCCTGACCAATTGCCTAGAATGAGGAAATGGAGGCAAGGTGTTTGACCTTGCTCAAGGTCACACGGCTAAGAAGTGAGGAGCCTGGACACAAACCCAGGTTCTCATCCCCACCTATCCCAGTCCTTCCCACTCTCAAAGGCCCAGCTCTCGCACTGAGCCAGCCTCCCAGAGCAGGGGACTAGCTTGTTCTCAGGTGACCTTTCTCCCTACCCCTCTAGGCCACCCCAAAAGCCCCATCAGGGCCAGAACTAGGTACCATCCCCTCACCCAGCCCAACCCACCGCTGGGCACTCAACAGGATGGGCTTGTGATTGGTGGATGCAACTATTTCCCTGAAAAATAAAACCAACCTGGCATTTGCAGCCTCAGCTGTTGGGGTGGCGAGCACTGCTTCGGTTACCTCTGAAATAATTAATGACAGTGCTTGTCCAATCTCACTTGAGGTGTGAGGAGCAGAAGAACAAGGGGGAGAGTTGCTGACTATGCCCCACGAGGGACTTAGAGGGCGATCTTTTTTTTTTCATCCTGCCTCAGGTTTATTTGTATAAATAGCACAGTAGGACCCCAGCCCCATGCAGACGGCAGCCCAGAGGGATCGCAGCAGTCCTTCTGTCCTCACACTGGCAGACAGAGATCTCTACTCTGAAGCCTTTGTAGGGGCCTGGGCACCTCTGGGAGCCCGAACTGGAACTGAAGCTGCAGCTGTAGCCTGGGCCTTCATTTGATCCTTGGCCTTGGCCTTTGGCCGGCACAGCCTGAGCCCCTTGACAATGCGGGCATGAGCACGCTTCCCAAGCTTGGGGTGGGCAATGTAGGCAAGTCGATCAAGCTTGCGGCTAACACCCTTTGGGATCTTGGGCTTAACCTCCTTGGGGTTTACGAGGGCCTCGATAGCCTCGGCACGTGCACTCACGGCCTTGGCACTGTTGGCCTGCATCTTCTTTAGGACCTTCTTGTTGTGCTTCTTGGCAAACACGTGTTCCTCAGGAACTTGGGGTCCACCCCCTTAAGGGATTCGTATCTTTGTGATCGGGGTTTCTTGAGACCATTTCTTTGCCATTTTCGGGACTGGTTGTGTGTGGTGTGGTTCTTGGACTTGGCCATATCTGCACCTTAAGCCGCGGCTCCCCTAAAGGCCTATGTTGATAAACTGGGCCTTAGAGCCTTGGCTGAGACAGCCCCTTGATTCTTGCTTTTCGGGCTTCAAGATGGCAGACAGTTGGCCCGCAGTTCTCACTGAACCAGCTAGTTATGTTATTACCTGGAAGAGACAACTCTAGACATGCTTTCCCTCCTACTCAGGCCCACGCATTCCCACACAAATGCACATGCATGCAGTGCCCATCCAGCTCACATCATGAGGTTACTCCCAGGGTTACAGCTCATTCAGGACAGAGGAACTGCTGTGACCTCACACTGCCACCTCCCACTTGCTGTGACTCCACTGAGCCTAAGGCCAGTGGCTTCAGATGTGGCATCCACCCTGTGCCAGGCTCACTAGAAGCATCATGCCTCTCACAAAATCTTCATGAAAAGGAGCTTATTCGCCCTCACCCCCAATTTCCAGATGAGGAGACTGAGGCTTAGAGAAGTTAAGTCACCTGGCCGGAATCCCATACATAGTATGTGGCAGAGATAGGGTTGAAGACCAAGTCTCTGGGACTCTGATGCACATAACCGGTAAATCAATCCAAGAAAGCCAGCAGGTTAGTGGAAACCAAGCTGGCTGGAGATTCCACTGCGACTAACCATGTAAGACTCAGCCCAGCCCTTCATGATATGTGGGAATGAAGCATCACAGGGATGTCACTGAGGAATGAAGCCCTATAACTGTCTACCCCTGCCAAAATAACAAAAATGCGACTCTTAGGGGCCGGAACAGAACTGACACCCAGGCAGCCGTGGGGAGCTGGAAGGGCTTCTACCCAGCTCCTTGAGGGCAGAGGCTGGCACTGGGTTCCAGGAGCCTCCCGTGCCTCCCCCTGCTCCTGTCTCTCTCATTCTGTTTCCCAAAACATCTCCTCTGATCTCTTTAACATCCTGGGAAGTCTGCATCTTTCTCACCTCTGCAGGAAGGTGCTTGGAGAGCCAAGGCTGTTGGGTTAAAAATACAGAACTTGAAATTTCTGAGGACAGGGAAAGCAACGTCCAACCTGCAGAGTAGGTCTCAGGGTGACAAGAGAAGCTCTTCCTGCTGTGTCTGAGATACTGAGAATTTGCATGAAAATCTTCCAGACCAGAGTCATCAGCTCAAAACTATTAAGCATTGTGACAACAAATAAAAACAAAGGCAATTTATTTTTAATACTCTTTTTTAAATTATGGAAGTTATGCATGGTCATGTGTAAAGAACATTTTTCTTTTTTTTGTTGCTGTTGTTTTTAGTTTAGTTTAGTTTAGTTGTTTAGTTTGAGATGGGGTTTTGCATTTGTCACCTAGCCTGGAGTGCATTGGCACAATTATAACTCACTGTAGCCCCGAACTGCTGGGCTCAAGCGATCCCCCTGCCTCAGACTATTGAGTAGCTGGGACTACAGCCTTGAGCCACCGTTCCTGGCTAATTTTTGAAGTTTTTTGTAGAGATGAGATCTCACTATGTTGCCCAGGCTTGTCTTGAACTCCTGGCCTCAAGCATCCTCCCACCTTGGCCTCCCAAAGTGCTGGGGTTACAGGTGTGGGCCGCTGCACCTGCCCATTCTTCTTTTTTTTTTAATGCCTAAACAAAGATATGTGCGTGTATGTGTGTATAGTGTTAGGATGTTTGTTCCTTTCTTTTGCTTTCTTTCCTTTTTCTACAAAAAGAATCATTCTATACTGTTCTGGAATATACTTTTTTCATTTAACAATACATAGCAGACAGCTTTCCAATATATTTAGATATATTAATTAATCTACAATTATATTAAGTAATTCACATGATTCAAAACTCCAGAGGTACACAAGAATATTCAAAAATGAGCCTCCCTCTCACCCCTACCCCAGGTACCCGGTTATCTCCCCAAAAGCTTCCAGTGTTACCTTTCTTGTGCATCCTTCCAGGGCTGCATTAAGCATGGATAAGCAATTATGTATATGCATTGCCCCCCATCCCCAGTTTTACATAACAGGATATACTGTATATCTTGTACATATAATACTGTTCTGCGCCTTGCTTTTTTTTTTTTTTTTTTTTTTTTTTCGGGACAGGCTCTTAAAGGCTCATGATTGTGCCACTGCACTCTAGGCCCAGACTTAGAGTGCAGTGACACAATCATGACTCACTGCAGCCTCGACTTCCTGGGTTCAAGCAGTTCTCCCGCCTCAGCCTCCCAAGTAGTTGGGACCACAGGCGTGTGCCATCACACTCAGCTACTTTTTGTAAGTTTTTTGGAGAGATGGGATTTCGCCATGTTGCCCAGGCTGGTCTCAAACCCCTAGGCTCAAAGGATTCGACCACTTTGCACACCCAAATTGCTGGGATTACAGGCATGAGCCACCGCACCCAGCCTGCACCTTGCTTTTTTCACTATAATACCATGTCCTAGCGGTCATTCATATTCATATGCAATATTTCATTCTTTTTAGTAGCTAGTAACATCCTATGTGAGATATGTAGACTCATTCATGCAGCTTTCTCTCACTGGTGGCCTTGTAGCTTGGGTCCAGTTTTTTTGCTTGTTGCGGTTATGAGTGCTTCAGTGAATCTCCTTGCACACATATCGTTAATAAAAGCACTCATAGTTTTATTTCCTAGAAGTGGAATTGCTGTGTCAAAAAGTATGCATTTTAATTTTTAATAATTTAGTTATGTATGCATGTTTTAAATTTTAATAAATAATGTCAGATGATTTTCTCAAAGGTTGTAGCAAGCTTTAAAGCATGAGTTTATGATCTGAATTGTATTTCAGTTTTTAAAAAAGAGCGATTTTTAAAAAATATTAGCTGGGTGTGTAGTGCATGCCCGTAGTCCCAGCTACTCAAGAGGCTGAGGTGGGAGCCCAGGGGTTTGAGGCTGCAGTGCACTTTGATGGTGCCTGTGAGTAGCCACTGTATTTTATGCTGGGCAACATAGGGAGGCCCCGTCTCTAAAAAAAAAAAAGGGTAGCGATTTGTGGCTCATTAACACTTCCCCATATATTACTAATTGTTTAAATTGTTGTCAATATTGTAAGAGAAAAATAGTATCTTCTGGTTGTAAATGTGTATTCCCTGACCTCCCTGTGAGGGTGAGCACGATCTCCTAAGTGTTTTGGCCACTTGCAGTCAACTGCTATGAATTCTCTGTGTCCTTTGCCCATTTTTCTTTTTCTTTTCTTTTTTTTTTTTTTTGAGACGGAGTCTCGATATGTCGCCCAGGCTGGAGTGCAGTGGTGTGATCTCGGCTCACTGCAAGCTCCGCCTTCCGGGATCACGCCATTTTCCTGCCTCAGCCTCCCGAGCAACTGGGACTACAGGCGCCCTCCACCGCGCCCAGCTAATTTTTTTTTTTTTTGTATTTTTAGTAGAAACGGGGTTTCACCGTGGTCTCGATCTCCTGACCTCGTGATCCGTGAGCCACCGCACCCGGGCATTTGCCCATTTTTCTAGTGGGTTCTTTGTCTTCTTCCTATGAACTGTTTTTTTTTTTTTTTTTTTTTTTGAGATGGAATCTCCCTCTGTCTCCCAGGCTAGAGTGCAGTGGCATGATCTCAGCTTACTGCACCCTCTGCCCCCCCGGGATTCAAGCGATTCTCGTGCCTCAGCCTCCCAAGTAGTTGGGATTACAGGCATGTGCCACCATGCCCAGCTAATTTTTGTGGGGTTTTTTTGCTTGTTTGTTTTTTGAGACGGAGTCTCGCTCTGTCACCCAGGCTGGAGTGCAGTGGCGCAATCTCCGCTCACGGCAACCTCCACCTCCCAGGTTCAAGTGATTCTCCTGCCTCAGCTTCCCAAGTAGCTGAGATTACAGGCACCCACCATCACGCCTGGCTAATTTTTGTATTTTTAGTAGAGACAGGGTTTCACCACGTTGGCCAGGCTGGTCTCAAACTCCTGACCTCAGGTGATCCGCCTGCCTCGGCCTCCCAAAGTGCTGGGATTACAGGCGTGAGCCACCTCGCCCAGCTCCTATGCACTTCTTAGGATAATTCTTTGTATGAACCCTTTGTTTTTGTTTTGTTTTTGTTTTGTTTTGTTTTTTGAGACGGAGTCTCGCTCTGTCCCCCAGGCTGGAGTGCAGTGGTGCGATCTTCGCTCACTGCAAGCTCCGCCTCCCGGGTTCACGCCATTCTCCTGCCTCAGCCTCCCGAGTAGCTGGGACTACAAGCGCCCGCCGCCACGCCCGGCTAAATTTTTTTTTGTATTTTTAGTAGAGACGGGGTTTCACCATGTTAGCCAGGATGGTCTTGATCTCCTGACCTCGTGATCCGCCCGCCTCGGCCTCCCAGAGTGCTGGGATTACAGGCGTGAGCCACCGCGCCCGGCGAACCCTTTGTTTTATGTGGAAAAATTTGTCCCTAATCTATTATTTTGGCTTTGTTAACAGTGTCGTTGCCATAAAGAAAAATTTATTTTTTGCATAGTCAAATCTGTCAAGCATAATATTTTAAGAAAAATAAATTTATTTTTATCTGTAAAAATACACATTTTTAATAGTGTGATTTCTATGAATGTTGATTTTGCTTGCTAGCCATATGCTTTACTATTCTAGGTAAAGTGGAAAATAGAAAATAACAATCAGTTGATAACATCAAGCTTGTTTACATTCCTTTGTTTCAAATGACTCTCCTGCCTCCAGACGATGATGATGATGGTGATGATGAAAACACCTACCCTGTACCAGGTGCTGTGCTAAACTCTTCACACACATTATCTCACTTCATCCTTACAGCAGCCTTTGGAGGTAGGGTTTTTTTGTTTTGGTTTGGTTTGGTTTTTTGTACCTTTTTATTTATTTATTTAGAGACAGCATCTGGCTCTGTTGTCCAGGCTGGAGTGCAGTGGCACAATCATAGCTCACTGTAACCTTGAATTCCTGGGCTCAAGTCAGCCTCCCACCTCAACCTCCTGAGTGACTGGGACTACAGGCGTACTCCACCATGCCCCACTAATTTTTTTTTTTTTTTTGAGACAGAGGGGTCTCACTGTGTTGTCCAGGATCATTTTTTAAATCGAAATACAATTCACAGATCATAAGCTTATCCTTTTAAAGTGTACCATTCAGGCCGGGTGCAGTGGCTCATGCCTGTAATCCTAGCACTTTGGGAGGCCGAGGCGGGCAGATCACCTGAGGTCAGGAGTTCGAGACCAGCCTGACCAACATGGAGAAACCCTGTCTCTACTAAAAATACAAAATTAGCTGGGTGTGGTGGTGCATGCCTGTAATCTCAGCTATTTGGGAGGCTAAGGCAGGAGAATTGCTTGAACGTTTTAGAGGTGGAGGTTGCAGTGAGCTGAGATCGTGCCATTGCACTCCAGCCTGGGTGACAGAGTGAGACTCTGTCTCAAAGAAAAAGAAAAAGATTTAAAAAATAAAGTGTACCATTCAGTGATTTTTTTTAGTATATTCACAAAGTTGTGCAATCATCACCATTATTTAAACCCAGAACATGTTCATCATCCCAGAAACAAATCCTGTGGTAGGTAGTTTTCATCACCATTTTACAGATGAGGAAACTGAGGCTCAGAGAGGCAAAGTAAACTGGCCAAGACCCCACAGCCAGGTCTGGGTTTGAGCCTAAGCCCCATGGCGTGGGGTGTCATCCTTCTCAGTGAGATTCATTGTTCTAGACCAGGAACTAGTACGCTATTCTGAAAAAGGCCAGATAGTAAATATTTTAGGCTTTATGGGTCATTCAATAGTTAGGGTTTTTTTTTTTTTTTTTAATCGAATTTAGGGCAAAACAAAGACAACTCCATATGAGGAAGTGATTTCTAAGTTCCTAAATATCTGAAAGTGGGTCAGGATTCCATGGGAAGTAGTCAAGCTGAGGGCAGGCAGCAGAGACGGTCTTAAAGAGTTGGATTCAGAACAGACCTATTGGAGCCAGGGACTCCAGTTCAAAGTTAGGAGCACCAGATGTGTGTGGCACCACCCAGCTCAGCAACCCCCTTGTTTAAGAGCACACCGGGCACACAGTAGGCCCTTTAGGTGATGTGTTGTAAGGTCTGACATTCATTTGCTGCCCTGGCATCTTTGAGCCTCATGGGGCCCCAAAGGCCAGTTCCCACCCTGCTAGTTCCCCCATCAGCCAGAAGAGCTTCACCCACCTGGTCCTCAACATACCCAGTTTCACCTTCCTGCCAGCCCAGGGAATCATTCAAACAAGCCAATCACATCCTCTCTTGGAAACTGGGAGTCACCACACCCTCTTGTTTACTGCCAGGCCCACCTCCCATGGCCCCTGTTTGTTCTGTCCCTGAGTGCAACCCTTCTGTGGCCCTGCAATCCGCTTCTGTTTGTTTTCTTTTTTGGTGTTTTCTTTTCTTTTTTCTTTCTTTCTTTTTTTTTTAAAAATTTTTCTTTTATCTTTTTCTGAGACAGGGTCTTGCTCTGTCACCCAGGCTGGAGTGCAGTGGCACAATCATAGCTCACTGTAGCCTTGAACTCCTGGGCTCAAGCAATCCTCCCACCTTGGCCTACCAAACTGCTGGGATTACGGGAGTGAGCCACCATGCCCAGCCTGCTCATTGGTTTCTTCTGCTTAATTTTAGTTGTCGTGTGTTCTGCCATTTTGTGCTATTCGGGGTGATGTCTTTCTGTCACCAATGGGCTGCATAGGAGGTAACTAGATCAGAGGGCATCTGCTTCCCTTTCTCAGCATCCGTTCCCTTTTCTCATGGGGTCAGCAACTTGATTTTCCTGTAGGGAGTCCCTCTCTCCCTCTCCTTCTCCCACTCAGGCCTTGTGGTTCAGGTAGAAAAAATAGAGAATGAATCCAGCTATATTTGAGTTGGTGCTATTCCTAGACATTTTCAGTTATGTGAGCCAATAAGTATTCTCTTCCCCTCCCACTTTTTTGGAATCTTAGTGCAAAAGAGTCTTGACTAACAATACACTCAAAAAAACGCAGATTGAATGAATAAATGCATTCCCAGTTGCTGCTATGCTTCTTGGCACATGGTAGGTCTTAATCTAATGAAGGCCTTCATTTAGGAGAGAAGAAAACTTATCTGTTGGAAACAGAGCCAGGTCTAAGATAAGAAGTCTAAGTTAATATGAAAAAAGTTGATCTAAGAGAGTGTGAAAAAACTTGGGGCTAGGCACAGTGGCTCACGCCTGTAATTCTAACACACTGGGAGGCTAAGACAGGAGGATCATTTGAGGCCAGCAATATGAGATCATTTGGGGCAATATAGAGAGACCTATCTCTTAAAAAAAAAATCCTATAATCCCAGCACTTTGGGAGGCAGAGGTGAGCGGATC